>NW_003571058.2:0-195632 GCF_000001405.40 Homo sapiens | reverse complement strand
GAATTCCCCATGAGTCCTGTGACCTCAGCCCACGCGGGGACCTACAGGTGCTACGGCTCATACAGCTCCAACCCCCACCTGCTGTCTCACCCCAGTGAGCCCCTGGAGCTCGTGGTCTCAGGTGAGGGCGCTGACCCCGTCCTCTCTGAGCTCAAAGGCTCAGCTCAGGCCCAGGCCCCCAGGAGAGCTCTCGGCTGGGATGGACCGAGGGAGGCTGTGAGGGAGGCTTAGCCAGAGGGCACCCAGCCCTCAGAGGGGAGGAGGCCAACAGGGGTTCTCCTAGGCGTGGCCACCCGTTCTCCCCTGCCTGGCATGCAGAAGGCACCAGGTGGGCAGAGAGATGGTTCCAGGGAATCCACTGGGCGGAAGCAGGAGAGTGGGAGTGGAAGGGTGCACTCCATGGACGGCCCCCGCCCCTCACCCGCCTCCCGTGCTCCTTCCAGGACACTCTGGAGGCTCCAGCCTCCCACCCACAGGGCCGCCCTCCACACCTGGTGAGTCACTGAGGCCTCGTGGGGAGCGCCGCCTCCCCCAGGGCAGTCTGAGTCTCCCAAAGGATCCCACTCCCCTCCCCTCAAGGACGGGCTTGTGTCCCAGGGGCTCTGAGGCTGGGCTGGTGAAGAGTGGGGGGTCGAGGCAGAGGGAGATGTTGGGGCCCAGCCAGGAGGAGGAGCCGGGCTGATGTGGGGGGCAAGACAGCCCCAGCCTTCACCTCCCTGTCCTGACCCAGGAGGTCCTGAGGACCAGCCCCTTAACCCCCCAGGGTCAGGCCCTCAGAATCGTGAGTGAGGGGCTCTGAGTGGGAGATGGGCGGGGTCCAGGGGAGGCAGGGGTGGGTTCTGTCCTAGGTTCAGGCTCCTCTGGAGGTGGTGATGTGGACAGGCCCCTCCCCTGCCTGGGCCTCAGTTTCTCCAAGTGTAAAGGAGAGAGGCCTGTGGGTGGGAAAGTTCCTTTCAGCTCTGACCCCCAGCTGTGACCTCCTGGGAGAGGAGGCCTCCCAGGGAACCTCCCAGACCCGATTCCACAGGGGCCTGTCCCGTCCCACCTGCAGCAGTGACGGTGACCTGGGGCAGGGGAGGGGAGCAGGGCCGTGGTTCAGGACGGTCAGGCTCTTTCCCTGCAGCTCCGGGTCTCGGCTCTGGTGCAGGAACAAGGGCTGCAGGTCAGACTCCCGGGCTCCCTTCCCAGCTCTGCCGCTTCCTCGCTGGAGGCCTGGGGCAGGCGACTCCCTGCTCTGAGCCTCAGTTTGTGCATCTGTGAAATGGGTTGTACGGGTGGCAATTCCATGTTGCACGACTGCTTGTGAGGGTTGGAGGTCACGAAGGAAAGACCTGGCTCGCGCCTGCACACAGTAGGTGCTCACATCAATGACATCATTCCCACTCCTGACGTCCTCATGTCAAGGTCTGGGAAGATACCTGGAGGTTTTGATTGGGGTCTCGGTGGCCTTCGTCCTGCTGCTCTTCCTCCTCCTCTTCCTCCTCCTCCGACGTCAGCGTCACAGCAAACACAGGACATCTGGTGAGTAGGGAAGCGGGGGACCCATGGGTCGACCGAGGGTGGGCTCAGGGCACCAGCCAGAGGGAACCCAAACACACAGGGGTGTCAGTTTAGAAAACCGGTTCCAGGGGCACGTAATTTCAATACGCATTTACAAACTTCAGTATTCATGGGAGTTTTTTTCTATCTCATAAAATATTTGGAACATCCATGCAGGAATATTTTTAGTTTTCCTTCTTTCCCTCAAGTTGCATGTGTAGAATGGGAGTTCTAATGTTCCCAGGGCTGAGACTCTGTCCATCTTCACCCAGACCAGAGAAAGACTGATTTCCAGCGTCCTGCAGGGGCTGCGGAGACAGAGCCCAAGGACAGGGGCCTGCTGAGGAGGTAATTCTGCCCCAAAGACCACAGACTCCCACCCACCACAGCCCATACACTGCCCCTCACACTCCCATGTCCTCCTCCAGGTCCAGCCCAGCTGCTGACGTCCAGGAAGAAAACCTCTGTAAGAGGAAGAGAGGGGACAAATGGGGGTGCTGGAGAGACAGGAGTCCCAAAATTTCAGTAGCAACAGGGAGGGGCTGGGAAGGGTCTGGGGCTCCGTGGAAGATGGTCTTGCCCCACACTGTGGGACCTCCCTGCATTCGGTGGCCCCATCTGGGAGCAGGGCAGGGGGCCAGCAGGACTGAGAGGTCTCAGAGAACCAGGAGACGAACCCCTTGCTCTGCCCCAGCAGATGCTGCCGTGAAGGACACACAGTCTGAGGACAGGGTGGAGCTGGACAGTCAGGTGAGATCCCGCCCCGTCCCAGGCACCAAAGGCCTCCTGGTGCCAGATCTAATCCTGCAGGACTTCTCTGTCCTCCTTCCCCCGGCTCTCAGCATCGTCACGGTGGACCCCTCCTTGTCCAGCATGCTGCCTCCCGCCTGCTGTGACCTCACTCTCTTCTGCTGTCCTGGGACCTCGTGGGCCTCCTCCCGGGTCCCCTTCCTGCTCCTCATCCTCTGTTTGGCCGTCTGGTTGTTAGAGCTCTCCCCAGGCCTCAGGAGGATGACGAATAAATGAACCACCTCCGTCCCCTGGGCTCCTCTTCATTCATTCATCCAGCGAGTGTTCCCAGGGAGCTCACTGTGGATGGGGCTCCCCATGGGAGCTGCAGACACAGCAGGGAGCAAAGCCGCCCCCGCCTCCTGAGCTCACCTCATGGTGGGAGACAAAATGCAAATAAATGCATCGTGTCCAGGAGTGCAACGTGCTGTAAGGAACATACACCAGGGAAAGGGCAGAGAGTGTGGGGCAGTGGGGCCAGTCTGAATGGAAGGGGAGGGCTGTCTGCTCAGCTGTCATCTGAGAAGCCTGGACAGAGTGGGGCACATGATCCTCTGATAGACGAGCCCCTGCAGGCAGAGGAAACAGCCGTGCAAAGGCCCCCAGGCAGCAGCGAGCTCTTGCAGGAAGGCCTGTGAGGCTGCAGCCAAATGGGCAAGGTCAGAGTGAGGAGCAGAGGCCAGAACCACAGGGAGGGAGCGGCCAGACCCTCCACGGCCTTAGGGCGTCCCTGAGATTCCATCAGGAAAGGGATGTAATCGGATCACCCCGGGAACAGTGAGGAAAATTGACTCCAGGAGGTCAGGGGGACTCAAGGACACCCCCCACCACTGTCTCTCTCCAGCAGAGCCCACACGATGAAGACCCCCAGGCAGTGACGTATGCCCCGGTGAAACACTCCAGTCCTAGGAGAGAAATGGCCTCTCCTCCCTCCTCACTGTCTGGGGAATTCCTGGACACAAAGGACAGACAGGTGGAAGAGGACAGGCAGATGGACACTGAGGTGAGTCCTTTCCTCTCCAGGCCCCCAGGCCTCCCCCACCCCCACCACGTTCCTTACCTCTCACTCTCCCCCGCTGCAGGCTGCTGCATCTGAAGCCTCCCAGGATGTGACCTACGCCCAGCTGCACAGCTTGACCCTTAGACGGAAGGCAACTGAGCCTCCTCCATCCCAGGAAGGGGAACCTCCAGCTGAGCCCAGCATCTACGCCACTCTGGCCATCCACTAGCCCGGGGGGTACGCAGACCCCACACTCAGCAGAAGGAGACTCAGGACTGCTGAAGGCACGGGAGCTGCCCCCAGTGGACACCAGTGAACCCCAGTCAGCCTGGACCCCTAACACAGACCATGAGGAGACGCTGGGAACTTGTGGGACTCACCTGACTCAAAGATGACTAATATCGTCCCATTTTGGAAATAAAGCAACAGACTTCTCAACAATCAATGAGTTAATAACAAAAAAACAAAAAACAAAAACAGACGTAAAGGCCGGGTGTGGTACTCAGGAGGCTGAGTGGGGAGGATTCCTTGAACACAAGAAGTTAAGGCTGCTGAGGCTGCAGTGAGCTATGACTGTGCCACTGCACTCCAGCCTGTGTGACAGAGCGAGACCTTGTCTCTAAAAAAAAAAACAGTGAATGTTTTAAACTGAATGATAATGTAAATATTATACATCGAACTTATGACATGGGAAAATTAAGAAGCATAAATAGGCCGGGCGCGGTGGCTCACGCCTATAATCTCAGCACTTTGGGAGGCTGATGCGGGCGGATCATGAGGTCAGGAGATCGAGACCATCCTGGCTAACACGGTGAAACCCCGTCTCTACTAAAAATACAAAAAAATTAGCCGGGCGTGGTGGCGAGTGCCTATAGTCCCAGCTACTCAGGAGGCTGAGGCAGGAGAATGGCATGAGCCCGGGAGGCAGAGCTTGCAGTGAGCTGAGATCGCACCACTGCACTCCAGCCTGGGCGACAGAGTGAGATTCCGTCTCGAAAAAAAAAAAAAAAGAAAGAAAAAAAATAAAAAAGAAGCATAACCAGGTGCAGTGGCTCACACCTGTAATCCCAATACTTTGGGAGGGCAAGTGGGGAGGATAGCTTGAGCTCAGGAGTTCGAGTCAGTCAGATCAGCATTGTGAGGCCCCATCTCTACAAAAAATAAAACCAGTCCGGCGTGGTGGCACACACCTGTAGTCCCAGCTACTTGAGAGGCTGAGGTGGGAGGATCACTTGGGTACAGGAGGTCGAGGCTGCAATGAGCCGAGATCGCACCACAGCACTTCAGCCTGGACGAGACCCTGTCTCAAAAAAACAAAACAACTAACAAGCCAGTGAAATTATCTGTTGATTAGTGTTTGCATAATACATTTTTCATCCTTCTGCTTTTTTAATGTGATAAAATATAAACAACAGGCCAGGCGCGGGGGTTCATGCCTGTAATCCCAGCACTTTGGGAGGCCAAGGCGGGTGGATCACAAGGTCAGGAGTTCAAGACTAGCCTGGCCAAGATGGTGAAACCCCATCTCTACTAAAAATACAAAAACTGGCCAGGTGTGGTGGCAGGCACCTGTAATCCCAGCTACTAGGGAGGCTGAGGCAGAGAACTGCTTGAACCCAGGAGGCAGTGGTTGCAGTGAACCGAGATCACACCACTGCACTACAGCCTGGGCAACAGAGCAAGACTCTGTCTCAAAAAAAAAAAATTCCAATCTTGTAATCTCTTTTTGATCACTTATATTTAATGTAATCACTGATGACATTACAACCGTATGTCACTTAATGACAGGGATATGTTCTGAGAAAGCCATCATTAAAAAATTTTGGCCAGGCGTGGTGGCTCATGCCTGTAATCCCAGAACTTTGGGAGGCCAAGATGGGTGGATCACCAGAGGTCGGGAATTCGAGACCAGCCTGCTCAACATGGTGAAACCCTGTCTCTACTAAAAATACAAAAATTAGCCGGGCATCGTGGTGCATGCCTGTAATCCCAGCTACTTGGGAAGCTGAGGCAGGAGAATCGCTTGAACCTGGGAGGCGGAGGTTGCAGTGAGCCAAAATCGTGCCATTTCACTCCAGCCTGGGAGACAGAATGAGACTCCATCTCAAAAAAAAGAAAAAAAAAAATTCACCGTCGTGTGAACATCATAGAGTCTACTTACACAAACCTACGTGGTATAACCTACTACATACATAGGCTATACCATCACATATGAAATGTGTAGTGGAGCGAAACATCGTTATGCGGTGCATGACTGTGTTCAGGTGTGCCTTTTTGTTTGTCTCCTCTGCTGTGTGTTGTTTCCCCTTTCCTGCCTACTCTAGGTTTTTAGAAATATTTTGATTTGTTAAAAACTTATGATTCCCCCCTCGCCCGGCCAGCCGCCCCGTCCGGGAGGGAGGTGGGGGGGTCAGCCCCCCGCCAGGCCAGCCGCCCCATCCGGGAGGTGAGGGGCGCCTCTGCCCGGCCGCCCCTACTGGGAAGTGAGGAGCCCCTCTGCCCGGCCGCCACCCCGTCTGGGAGGTGTACCCAACAGCTCATTGAGAACGGGCCATGATGACAATGGCGGTTTTGTGGAATAGAAAGCGGGGAAAGGTGGGGAAAAGATTGAGAAATCGGATGGTTGCGGTGTCTGTGTAGAAAGAGGTAGACATGGGAGACTTTTCATTTTGTTCTGTACTAAGAAAAATTCTTCTGCCTTGGGATCCTGTTGATCTGTGACCTTACCCCCAACCCTGTGCTCTCTGAAACATGTGCTGTGTCCACTCAGGGTTAAATGGATTAAGGGCGGTGCAAGATGTGCTTTGTTGAACAGATGCTTGAAGGCAGCATGCTCGTTAAGAGTCATCACCACTCCCTAATCTCAAGTACCCAGTGACACAAACACTGCGGAAGGCTGCAGGGTCCTCTGCCTAGGAAAACCAGAGACCTTTGTTCACTTGTTTATCTGCTGACCTTCCCTCCACCGTTGTCCTATGACCCTGCCAAATCCCCCTCTGCGAGAAACACCCAAGAATGATCAATAAAAAAAAAAAAAAAAAACTTATGATTCCTTAACTTTTCTATTTAATATTTTTGGACCATGGTTGACCACCAGGTAACTGAAAACACAGAAAGAAAATTACAGATAAAGGGGGACTACTGTATTAGAGTTTTTTAAAAATATATTTTAAATTTTTTTGTAGCAATGGGATCTCACGATGTTGCCCAAACTGGCCTCAAACTTGTGGGCTCAAGAGCCTCCCATCTCCGCCTCCCAAAGTGTTGGGATTACAGGCATGAGCCACTGTGCCCAGCTTAAGAGTTTTTAATTGAAAAATAATAATTGTACATATTTATGGAATACAGAATATTTGATTTTATCTACGTGTGTGTGTGTGGTTTTTTTTTTTTTCGAGATGGAGTTTCACTCTTTTTGCCCAGGCAGGAGTGCAATGGTGCAGTCTCGGCTCACTGCAACCTCCGCTTCCCAGGTTCAAGTGGTTCTCCTGCCTCAGCCTCCCAAGTAGCTGGGACTACATGTGTGCACCACTATGCCCAACATATATATATTTACATATATATATATTTTTTTTTGAGACGGAGTCTCGCTCCATTCTACCTCAGCCTCCCGAGTAGCTGGGATTACAGACACATGCCACCACGCCTGGCTAAGTTTTATATTTTTAGTAGAGACAGGGTTTTGCCAGGCTGGTCTTGAACTCCTGACCTCTTGATCTGCCTGCCTCCCAAAGTGCTGGGATTATAGGCGTGAGCCACCGCACCCGGCCCAACAAATATATTTTTATTGAGATACAACTCTATTTTGTGGCATTTAGTAAATTCACAATATGGTGTAAGCATCACCTCTATCTCATTCCGAAACATTTTTATCATACCGAGAAGGAAACCGAGTTTACATCAAGCAATCACTCCCACCTAATCCCATGCAACAATTAACCTACTTTCTGCCTCTATCGATTGGCCTTCTTTGAATACCTTTTTTTTTTTTTTTTGAGACAGGGACTCACTCTGTCACCCAGGTTGGAGTGCAGTGGTGTGATCTCGGCTCACTGTAACCTCTGCCTCCCAGGCTCAAGCGATCCTGCCACCTGAGCCTCCCAAGTAGCTGGGATCACAGGCACATGCCACCATGCCGGGTGAATTTTTTGTATTTTTGGTAGAGATGGTATTTCACCATGTTGCCCAGGCTGGTCTCAAACTCCTAAACTCAGGCAATCCACCTGCCTTGGCCTCCCAAAGTGCTGGATTACAGGCAATGAGCCACCACACCCAGGCTGGATACTTCTTATAAATGAAATAACGTCATATGTGACCTTTTTTTCCTGACTGCTTTTATCTAGTATATTATCAAGGTTCACACATGTAGCATGTATGAGTACTTCATTCCTTTCTACGGTTGAATAATATTTTGTTGTAAGGATATACCACACTTTCTCTATTCACCAGCTGATAGACATCGCTACAAAAATAAGTAGTGGCTGTGGAGGTGCACGTCTGTAGTCCCAGCCACTCGGGAGCCTGAGGCGGGAGGATCACCTGAGCCACGATGTCAAGGCTGCAGTGAGCTATGATAGTGCCACTGCACTCCAGCCTGGGCAACAGGCCTCATCTTTTAAGCAAAGAAAAAAGAGGCCGAGCATGGTGGCTCATGCCCGTAATCCCAACACTTTGGGAGGCTGAAGCGGGCGGATCACCTGAGGTCAGGAGTTCAAGACCAGCCTGGCCAACATGGTAAAACTCTGTCTTTACTAAAAAATACAAAATTTAGCTGGATATGGTGGCGCGCATCTGTAATCCCAGCTAACTGGGAGATTGAGGCAGGAGAATCGCTGGCACCTGGGAGGTGGAGGCTGCAGTGAGCTGAGATCACGCCACTGCACTCCAGCCTGGGTGACAGAGCAAGACTCTGTCTCAAAAACAAAAAAAAAAAAAAAGAAAAAGAAAAAAGAGGCCGAGCATGATGGCTCATGCCTGTAATCCTAACACTTTGGGGGGCCAAGGCAAGAGGATGATTTAAGGTCAGGAGTTCGAGAATAGCCTGGCCAACATGGTGAAACTCTGTCTCTACTAAAAATACAAAAATTAGCCAGGCGTGGTTGCACGTGCCTGTAATCCAGCTACTTGGGAGGCTGAAGCAGGACAATCACCTGAACCCAGGAGGTGGAGGTTGTAGTGAGCTGGGGTCACGCCACTGCACTCCAGCCTGGGAAACAGAGCAAGACCATGTCTAAAAAAAAAAAAAAAGGGGGAAAGAAAAGAAAGAAAAAAAGAGTGCTACTCATTAACAGGAAAGTTGGCTGGGCGCGATGGCTCACGCCTGTAATCCCAGCACTTTGGGAGGCCGAGGCGGGTGGATCACGAGGTCAGGAGATCGAGACCATCCTGGCTAGCACGGTGAAACCCCGTCTCTACTAAAAATACAAAAGATTAGCCGGGCGTGGTGGCGGGCGCCTGTAGTCCCAGCTACTCGGGAGGCTGAGGCAGGAGAATGGCGTGAACCCGGGAGGCGGAGCTTGCAGTGAGCCGAGATCGCGCCACTGCACTCCAGCCTGGGCGACAGAGCGAGACTCCGTCTCAAAAAAGAAAGTCAGTGAAGGGACCTGTTTGGGAAAACAAAGCCCAGGCTCGAAGGAAGCTTGTGCTTCCCTCTGTGAGCAAGTTAAGTCTTAGAAACATCTCCCCGAGCCTCCTTCTCCCACGCGGGTCGTCTGTCCTGCGGCAGCCCCACTGGTTCCTCCCATCAACCAAGGCAGAGAGTGGAAAAGCTCCTCACACTCTTCTGCTTCACACACAGTGAACAAATCCAAACCTCTCTGCCCACATCCCTCCTCACCCGGCTCCACCCGTGTCCGCTGGTCCATCCCCACAGTCTAAGCTCAGCTGGGGACCGAGGACGCCCTGTCTGTGCACTGCACCAACCTCCCTCCTGGCCCCCTACTGGCTCCCATCCCTACTCCAGTCCATCCCTCTCATCACTTCCGAGGCCTCTTCTGACCATCTTACCTGGCTGTGACCCTCCACTGCTCAAATTCCCCCAACGGGGCTCCATCTTCCAAAAATAAGATGCACGTTCCTGTACTTCATGTTCAAGCCTGTTGATGACCAAACCTGATACACTTTCCAGCTTCACAGGCTATGGCTCCCCCTCTGCCACACCAAACTCATCACAGTTACCCACCCCCTGCCACACACACACAACCTCAGTTATTAAACACGTGTAAGTCTTCTGACGGCCGCTCCCTGAGCCAATCCGGATGTAGCTGACACCTCTGCAGAGCTGGTAGACTATGACAAAGAGAAGCCCTCCTGCCTCGTTCCACTCCACTGTAAACGTATGTGTGTCATAGGTCATGAGGAGTCCACATAAACCACTTAGAATCCTTATCAGCACATTGCCTAGTGGCTGGGCTCACGCTGGAGTGTGGTTATGGTTAACCATTAGTGAAACCCTCCCATATTGCATTCTGTGCAGTGATGGGCTTGTAAAAACAGACATCTGTTTCCACTGTGCTTTCTAAAGATTCCCCGGTTTTTTTTTTTTTTTTTTTGAGATGGAGTCTCACTCTGTCACCTAGGCTGGAGTGCTGTGGCGCAATCTCGGCTCACTGCAACCTCCACCTCCCGGGTTCAAGTGATTCTCCTGCCTCAGCCTCCCGAGTAGCTGGGATTACAGGCGTCCACCACCACACCTGGCTGATTTTTTGTGTCTTTAGTAGAGACGGGGTTTCACCATGTTGGCCAGGCTGGTCTCGAACTCCTGACCTCATAATCCACCCACCTCCGCCTCCCAAAGTGCTGGGATTACAGGTGCAAACCACCGTGCCGGGCCGGATTTTCCATTTTCTTAAACATAGCATCCAATAAATCTTCACGGTGCACAAGTCCCCTGAATGACAAGGTCCCAGCTTCCTTTGGCTCACTCTCAGGTCTGAGAACAGCCCACACTGTTTCTGGTGGAGGACACTCTGCGTGCCACACTCACTGTTCACGTCTTGGTCTCTCCATCCCCCAGAAGGACCCCTCACTCCCATGACAGGTGTACGCTGCTCACCTGCTATGAGCATGTTTTCCTCCTTTCCTACAACTTGTCGAAACCGGAGCAGAATTACCTCCTATCTAAACATGGGTAATGTGTCATTAACCCAGGCTCTGTGAGTCCAGCAGGAATCCTATCAGCTTCACCCACGACTCCCCTCCTCCTGGCAGCATGCCTGGATGTGGTAACCACTGAATAAACATCGCCTGATCGCAAGGCTCATGAAAGAAAAGATGCATTACAGAGCTCAGGACATGGAAGGGGCTTGCCTCTAGAATTAGAACAGTGACTGGGCTGTGTCCTAAGGCCCTGCCCTCTCTGGCCTCAGCCTCATGTGCTAGAACAAGGGTCACCCCTGGATGAGAGTTGGGTGAGGTGGAAGCAGGCAGAGTATGGGGAAGTCAAATTTTGACTCAAATGTGGTCTGAAAGGCCCCCAGAGCCTGCTGTCCCCTCAGCCCCATCCTTCAGGGGGAGCAGAGCGAGGCCCTGGGGAAGGGGCTGTTCCCCTCCTGCAAGGCCACTGGTGAGAACACATGACCTGTAACACAGAGCCCGGGGCTCCTTATACCAGCACACCCATCTGCCCTCCAGGCTCTGTGGCTCAATGGTCTAATTCATCTGCACTGCTGGGGACCGTGACAGGCAGGGCCACAACCCCCACCCTCATTGCCCATCTCCCTGCTGTGTGTCCAGGGAAGCCTTAGGTGGACACGGGGTGGTCAGTGACCCCGACCTCTTGGGCCAGAAGCACAAGGCAGAAGGCATGGAGTTGAGACCGGTGAGAGCTCTCCCTGCAGGCCCCAGCGGGCCCCAGAGAGTACGCATCCCCTAAATACCAGTCGCCTCATCTCAGGGGCGTCCAGGCAGCCCTCAGCCCTCCCTCTCAGCACAGCCGGGATCGCCGGTGCTCTCTGGAGACAGCCTGACCCCTCAGCATCACTCAGAGGCCGGTTTTGACAGCTCTGCATTGACCAGGACAAGGGGCTCCCAGCCCGCCAGCGCCTAGATGGGCAGCACCTCCTGGACGTCCCCCTGGGCCATGCGAGCCACCCCCCTGGGGGCCAGCACAGATGCTGCGGTGGACACAATGCCTCCTGCCCAAGGTCGGTCCCCCGTCGCCCCCACCCAACATCCTGGTTGCAAGTGAGGGGCCCCTACCCAGACCCCATCCCGTTCTCTGCTCTGGACCCTGGGCTCAGGGTCGAGAGAGAGAATGATACAGGGATGTGGTCCAAGGAGATCACCAAGAAAGGGAGAGCAAGAGGCCCGGAGATTAAACAGACCCACGCAGGCCAGGCACTGTGGCTCACACCTGTCATCCTAGCGCTTTGGGAGGCGAGTGGATTGCTTGAGGCCAAGGGTTTTAGATCAGCCGGGGCAACACATTGAGACTCCATCTCTACAAATTCTTGAGATGGAGTCTCCCTCTGTTGCCCCGCTCGCTGCCTCTGTAGACAGAGCCCTGAAGACCCTTTTCCTTTCCAAGCCCGTAGGCTTCTCCCCAGAACCGCATACCTCAACTCCCACTCTCCCCTCCCTCCAGGCTGCCGTGGAGCTCCGCAATTGTGAGCTACACCCAGGTGAGCCACCACCTCTCAGACCAGAGACAACTGCAGTCTCTTCCTCCCAGGGGAGCTCCCAGGAGCCCAGTGAGTACGCTGCCCCGGCCATCCACTAGCCCAGACCCCACGCTCCAAGGAAGGAGACCACAGTGAGCCCAGATGGTGCAGCAGCTGGCCCCATGGACACAAGACCACCGTCATTTCCCAAGTAGCAACGCTGAGGGAAGGAAGGGCCAACCACCTAGCTTGAGTAAGCCGCAATGGACTTCTCCACGTGGTTTACAGTAACTTAGCTGTGTTCCAGAACTGTCCCTGCCCTGACCTCAAACCCTGAAGGCCTCCAGATAAGGACCCAATCAACTACAGCCTGCAGCCTGAGGGGGTTGCACAATTTCAGGTTTCTCACTTCCTCAGAAACCAAACCCCTTCCCAACACAGATGATCAACAAGGCTGAGAAAAGGGAAGCCTGCCAACCTCTTGACCGTGAGTCCACAGAAGCACTGAACGCGGAGAGGAGGAACAGACTTCCCTCAACGCCCCTTCTCCTACGCTAACCCACTTCCCCTACATGTGAAGACAAAACTGGGAACTTGCCCAACATCAACCGCATCACAAGCTTTGAAACTAGCAAGCAAATTCTGTGAAGTGTTCCCCAACAATCACCAACAGTTCACCTTCCCCAGCAACCCGTCAGCCTCTGGTCAGCTCCCGTCCCACCTGTCTCTTGCCTGGCGGGGTCAGGGTCCCAGGGCCAGCAGGCAGGGAAGGCCCCCACCTCCACTCGGCGCCTGCCCTGCCTAGCAATGACCGGCTCCCTCCCACCCCTATATGCAAACACCGGCTTACTTGGAATTTCCTTCTGGTTTTGACACAGTTTTTCCAAAAATACCACTCGTCTCTCCCCTGATGACAGAAGTTTCTGGTAAAGATGTGTGTTCACTACTGTAGAATAGTACTGAGAGGCCAGGGACCACTAGCTGGTAGGCACTCCCAAGTGAGTGAGCCTCCCAGGGAAGGCTGCATGTTTAGAGCAGGGGAAAGAGTCAAGGATGAGAGACCCCCACACACCAATTGTAAAGCGCTGATCCTGTTTATTTGGCAGGAAAACGAGACAATCCAGCAGCCCAGGAGGGACAGGTGGACTTAATCCTCCTCCTCGTCGTCTCCAGCCCCAGCCCCACCCTGGCCCTTCTTGGCATTCTTCCTCTTCACGCGGCCCGGGCGGCCACCCCCGTAGGGAGAGCGCAGAGAGAAGTCGATGTGCTTCTGGGAATCCAGGCGGACAATGAAGGACGGGATGTTCACCACCTGCTTGCGGACCCTGGAAGAAGCGACAAGGTGAGGTGGACTGGAGGAGAAACGGACGCTAACCCCAGCTACCGCACCACTCTTTCCTCTCCACCCACCCCGTGAGGCCGCCACGGCTGCAGACACCAAGGCGCTGCAGGAAGGGTGCACCTGATCCTACGTGCGCCCTCCGGGGTTTTAGGGTATCACCTTAATCCCCAAAAATGCTTCAGATGACTTTCTCAACCCCATTTTATAGGAGAAATCTGAAAGTATCCCACCTAAGACCACAAAGCAAATGAGATGGCCATGTGAGAGCCCCCAAGTTCCGAGTCTGAAATATCGTGAACCCCACACCTGACACTGAGCTGTATTACCACGTGCAGCAGCAATGCCCACAATAACACAGCAACCCGAGGCTACGTCTCCGACGAAAGCATTGACACACAAGGCTCTGCCTACGGCTCACAGGGTTAGTGAAGGGCTGGGGCGAAGATTCTAAACGCAAACATCTTGCCCTCTTTCTGTACAGCTCCTCCCCCTCAATGGTGCCACATTACAGAAAGGGCACACTGAGTACCCAGAACGCAGTCATGGATCGGGGTCTGGAATCAACTTCACAAGCGAGCCAGGAGACAGCTGAACCCACCACCCAAGCGAGGTGAGGCTGGTTCTCTCCCTCCACTGGGGACACCAAGAGCTGTTACCTGTCCAGCTGCCCACATGCCTGGCAGAGGCCTTCACAAGGTGTACGGCTAGAGCCGCAGTGACCCTTGCGCTGGGCTATTGGGGCAAGAGGCTGCCCCAGCTCCCTGGTGAGCTGTGTGCAAGGGTGAATCTGTACCCTCTGGGTGAGTTCACACCCATCACCTCCGAGGGCTGCATAGGAGATAGGGACAGCAGGCTTAGTGAGGGCAACCATCAGAGGGGCAGGTGGAGGAAGATTCAGGTGCCCATCCGAGGTGGTACCTGATATGGCGCTGGCGGATCAGCACGCGAGCGTGGTGGATGGACTTGGCCAAGCCCAGCTTGAAGACCTGGGTCTGCAGGCGTCTCTCTAAGAAATCCTCTATCTTCAGGCCCAGGATGTAATCCAGCTTCATCTTGCCCTCATCCAGCACCCCAATGCGGACCAGCCGCCGCAGCAGGGCGTTGCCTGGGAAGAGTGGGAGGAAACACTGATTCCGCCTTCTGACCTCAGGCTTCTTGGGTTCAAATCCTGGCTCCGCCTCTTGGTAGCTCCATGCCGCGGCGGTGAGGCACAAGTAGTACAGCGCCATCACCGTGACCCATGTCACTGTCAAAACCACCCTACGGGCTGGGAGTGGTGGCTCACACCTGTAATCCCAGCACTTCGGGAGTCCGAGACGGATCACTTGAGGTCAGGAGTTTGAGAGACCAGCCCGGCCAACATGGCGAAAGCCCGTCTCCACTAAGATTACGAAAAATTAGCCAGGCCGTTGGCGCACTGCCTGTAATCCCAGCTATTCAGGAGGCTGAGGAAGGAAAACTGCTTGAACCCAGGAGGCGGAGGTTGCAGTGACCTGAGATGGGGCCACTGCACTCCAGCCTGGGCGACAGAGTGAGGCCCTGTCACAAAACAAAACAATACAAAAAACCAAACTACCCTATGGTTGTCAGGTCATCATTCATAGTAAACTGCAGATGACAGGAGGGCAAAATACACCTGCCTCCTCATCTGAGAGCATACATCCCTCGCTCCACATTCTTAGCAAGAGTAAAGGAAATCACCTCCTTACAAGGACTCAGTCTGCAAAAGACCAAATGCAGCTGCTATTAAGCTACTACCACCGTAACAAAGCACAGTGCTGAAGAGTTCATATCCTCAGCCCAGAAAGCTCTTCTGATTAAGCAGATGTGAGATTGAATCACATTCCGTGCCATAAATAGCAGTATCTACATCTTTTAAGGAGAGAAAAGTAATTTCTAACACTAGAATTTTTCCAGCTAAGTACATGTCATTCATTTTACTATTCTGTACAAAATTTTCCACCAAAAATAGATCTAGTATGTATATAACCTAACAATGCACTGCATAAAATATCCAACAGATGCCCTACTACACCTTTCTTCCAACCCCAGGCTCAGGACGGCTTGCTCCTTACCCTGTCCAAAGCCATGGCTTCTAGCTAATACTCTGGACTGCCCTTGCCCACAGCCCCAGGGCCCTGGGGGCAAACGCCATCCCCTAGGCTCCCGCTCACTGCTATAATCCCACACGCCTTCAGCAAATCAACTGCCCCTTGACTGGGGTAAACACCTCAACCTTTTTTCCTTATGTGCACTTTTATAAAAAGTGGCTCTTACTAGTTACAGCAAACCATTCAAGCAAGCTTTCATAAATAGATCTACATGCATCAGGCACTTCTGATATTCCTGGCACTGTTACCCTCCAAGCAAAGTTTGAAAGAAAGCTAGCTCACTTTGTGAGGACCCAAAGTTTTCCCAGTAGGGAGCAGTTACAGGTAGGGAGAATCAAAATGGAAACACCAGCTGTGTGCATTTCCAGCATCCTATGTCATACTATGGCTTCAATTTTTGTTCTTTTTTAACTCAACATCAGAGGATATTTAAACACCTGAATATCAAAATACAAAAACATGTCCAAAAGGCAATGAAAATGAGTTTGGGATCATTTACCTCTTTGGACACTTCACGCCTTTTTGTCTTTACATTAGAAAATGGAAACTTAAGCCACGCACAGTCCCTTATGCCTGGCCTATAAACCCAATATTTTGGGAGGCTGAGGCAGGAGGATCAGTTGAGTCCAGAAGTTTGAAACTAGCCTCGGCAACACAGTGAGACCGCATTTGTACCAAAACAAACAAAAAAGTAAAACTAAATTAGCTGGGCATGGTGGTACATGGTGGATTGTGGTCCCAGCTACTAGAGCTGAGGAGGATCACTTAAGCACAGGAGGTCCAGGCTGCAGTGAGCCACGACCATGCCACTGTGCTCCAGCCCGGGAGACAAAGTGAGATCGTCACCATTAGGCAAAACAAAGGCATGATTTTAAAAAAATGTTTCACATTTATTATCATTTTTGAGACAGAGTTTCGCTCTCGTTGCCCAGGCTGGAGTGCAATGGCGTGATCTCGGCTCACTGCAAACTCCGCCTCCTGGGATTCTCCTGCCTCAGCCTGGGATTACAGGCATGCGCCACCACGCCCCGCTAATTTTGTATTTTTTCAGTAGAGACTAAGGGGTTTCTCCACTTTGGTCAGGCTAGTCTCAAACTCCCGACCTCGGGTGATCCGCCTGCCTCTGCCTCCCAAAGTGCTGGGATTACAGGCATGAGCCACTGCACTCAGGCCCACATTTATTGAACCATCTATCTCCTGAAAAAGAACAGGAGAGTCAGCCACAGGCAAAACCTTTAAGTATGAAGACAATAGTTTTCAACAGCACAATAAACCTTACACCTTCAACAAAAGCATGTCCTACTGCTGAGGCTCCACTGGGCCAATGCACCAAGAGAATTTAAAATGCTTTAAAAATGCAAACCAGGGAGGACCTCAGTGGGAAACAGGTCCTTGTCATCATACAAGGCAGTTAGGTATTACAATGCCTTCATTTCTGATCTGAAAAATGGACATGACTCCTACATTTCTTCACAGTTGTGCTGGGGGGTGGGGGGGGAGTTCGTGTTGTTTTGTGTCTCGCTGTCACCCAGTGCAGTGCCGCGGATCTCGGCTCACTGCAGTCTCTGTCTCCCAGGTTCAATCAATTCTCCTGCCTCAGCCTCCCGAGTAGCTGGGATTATAGGCACACCACCATGCTCGGCTAATTTTTGTATTTTTCGTAGAGATGGAATTTCACCACGTTGGCCAGGCTGGTCTCTGACTTGAGGTCTCCTGACCTCAAGTGATCCGACCACCTCGGTCTCCCAAAGTGCTGGGATTACAGGCATGAGCCACCACGCCTGGCCTCTATCTGTTGATTATTAACTGCCAGCCAAATGTTGGCGGCTGTTCAGTCTTAACAGACGAGACTCAGAATCTCGCTAGTCACACATCTTAGTGGGAAAGGCTGGATCTGAATCAAGGCAGGATTACACCAAAGAGCAAACATCCAAGCTCCTCCTTCCTGTCCCTGACTAGGCTAGATGGCTTCATTTACTAGAAAGTGTACTCACCTGAACAACTGTGTACCCCTTGGGAATTTTCACTTCTGCCTTGGAAAACCACAAATAACCCTCAGACACCTGCACCGCTTTCTCACATGACTGTAAGTTTCATTGCAATTAGGATCTATGTCCAGAAAGTCCTCCCTAAAACCAGAACCAGCTATAGCCCACTCCCCACAGAACCCTGGGATGAATTCCCACCCAGCATCAGTATCTATGGGGGAGGGATCTCCAGCACTTTCATGAGATTATCAACGGGGTCTACAAATTGACGAAAAGAATGAAAGGGTCAGGTGCGGTGGCTTACACCTGTAACCCCAGCACTTTGGAAAGCTGAGGTGGATGGATCACTTGAGGTTAGGAGTTGGAAACCATCCTGGTCAACACTGCAAGATCCTGTGCCTATTTAAAGAAAAAGCTTCTAACATCTGCAAGCCTGGGACAAACTGTGATAATCTGTAGCTAAACATGCGCCAGGACTTTCTCAACGCCTAACATGGATGACCACTCTCATGCCTAACAGTCAGGGCTCAGGTGTAGAGACTGCTTTTCACCATAAATCATGACTACCCAAACTCAGGCAAAAGCAGCGTCTCAGGATATACAAATGCCAATCTTGGTCATGCCAATCTGCTGTAGAAAGCACTCCAATAACACCGCATCTCAGAGTAGATTTTAAAACAAGATGGTTAAGATGGTACATTTTCAATTTAATGTGTATTTCACCACAATTAGTAAAGTAAGCCTAAGTCTATGTGATCTGCATGCCCTCCTAAAGTCATCACCTGAAATGCTGTTCCCTGAGACATTTTACAGGTTCTCTCCTGTTCAGGCCTTTGCTAAATACCACCTAAATGTCCTTGACCAGCTTAAAAAAACAAGCACCAGCCTGGACAACATGGTGAAAACCCATCTCCACTAATAATAGAAAATTAGCCAGGCTTGGTGGCCCATGCCTGTGATTCCAGCTACTTAGGAGGCTAAGACAGGAGAATCGCTTGAACTCTGGAGGCGGAGTTTGCAGTGAGCCAAGATTGCGACAACTACACTCCAGCATGGGCAATGGAGCGAGACTCCGTCTCAAAAGTAAAATTAGCCAGGTGTGGTGGCGTGCGCCTGTCTGTAGTCCCAGCTACTTGGGAGGCTAAGATAGGAGAATTGTTTGAACCCAGGAGGCGGGGGTTGCAGTAAGCCGAAATGGCGCCACGGCACTCCAGCCTGGGCAACAGAGCAAGACTCCGTCTCAAAAGACTAAATAAAACGAGAAAACTTAATTAAAAAAACAATAAACCAAGCAAATGTGCAAACCCTGTTATCACCATCACTTAGCCCAGAAATTCCACTTCATAGTCTACTCTCATCCACTAGCAAACAGGCCACATAAACAGAATATAAAGATATAGACGGGTGCCCAGGTGTGCCAGGCCTATCTTTAGCTCTGGTCATTACTAAACTGAAGGTCCAATAACTGGGCAAAAAAGCCACACACCTAAGAAACAGGGCAAAGACTGATCCAGATACACTTTTCCTACTTCACAAGTGCCACTAAAAGTTAGAAGGCTGGTTCCATTTATCCAATGACACAACTCTCATCACTGGAACAGAGGCAACAGAAGGGAGAATGAACCTCACAAGCCCTGCACCCCATCCCTCTGCTGTGGACTCCCATACGCACCTTCGAACAGACGCCGTGGGTCCTTCTCATCAAGCGTCAGCAGTTCCCGGGCGGCCTTGCGGATCTTGGCCAGGGTAAATTTGACCCTCCAGACCTCACGTTTGTTCCGGAGCCCATACTCGCCTGGTGGGGAGAAGGGGGTGGACAAGTGTAGTCCCACGTACTGGCACAACAACTAGACTGGCAGCTTTGGAATCACAAAACCTTCCTAAACCACGAATAGTACCAAATTTAGGGGACGGACTAGATAGAGTACATGGGCACCTTCATCCACGTGCTAACCGCCTCCCGGAAGCCGAACCACTTCCCGGAAGCCTTGGCCACTCACCGATCAGCTTCAGCTCTTGGTCGAGACGAGATTTCTCGAAGGGTCTCCGCGGGGTCACATAAGTTTTGCGACAAACCCAGCTCCGGGCCACTGGCATGTTGGCTCCGCTTCCCCGTCTGCGCCTGCGCGGGAGAGAAGTGTGAGCGTAAGGGCTCCAAACGGCGCCTGCGCAGTCCCACAACTACGCCAAAACCTCGCGGAGCCCAGATCCGATCTCGCGAGAATAACCTCCAACGCTCTCATAGTCAGTATCTGCCCCCACAACCGTGCTGCACTCCCGTTCAACCACCCTGCTCTGTTTCCTAACGTCTTTAGCTTACTCATGGAAACTCGGAAGGCCCGGGCCACCATCCAACCCAAACCCTAGAGAAAAAGCACACCGCCGCACCTCACCTAAGCAAACCACCCGGTCACTGAGAAAGAGGCGCGCAAGCGCCACGGCTGCGCTCTTATAGTAACGCCGGCGTCTCGTGACGTTTTCACGCACCACGCACGTCAGAGCCAATCAGAAGAGGCGTTGGCTGGCTGAGAAGCAGTGGAGACGTGAGGCTGGGCTAGAGCGGCGTGCTAACCTGGGAGGACTAGGTTTTTTCCGGCCAGGGAGTGGAAACCTGAGAAGTAGGGAGAACCTTCCTTCTCCGCCCCTGGACGGTGGTTTTTCTTTTTCTTTCTGAGACAGGGTCTCGCTCCGTCGCCCAGGCTGGAGTGCAGTGGCGTGATTTCGGCTCACTGAGGCCCCGACCAACCTCTCGGGCTCGAGCGATCCTCCCACCTCCTCCCCAGTAGCTGGGATTACAGGCACACGCCACGACGCCCGGGTAGCATTTTTTTTTTTTTAACAGTCGGCGTCTTGCCATGTTGCCCAGGCTGGTCTTGAACTCCCGGCCTCGAGAGAGCCTCCCGCCGTGGCCCCCCCAAAGTGCTGGGATTACAGGCGTGAGCCACCGCGCCCAGCCGAGATTATTTCTGTCACTAACAATAATGTGGCATTCTGGAACGCTATGTGCCACATACTGTTCTAAGAATTTTAAATGTATTTACTCAATCTTCAATACATACTTACAGAGCACTCTCAGAGAAGTTGCCCCCCCACCCATGGTACTATTATTATCAATAGCCACTTAAGGGGTATTAGTACTATTATCAGTAATTTATTTTATTTTTGAGACGGAGTTTTTCGCTCTCGTCACCCAGGCTGGAGTGCAGTGGTGCGATCTCGGCTCACTGCAACCTCCGCTTCCCGGGTTCAATCGATTCTCGTGCCTCAGCCTCCCGAGAAGCTGGGACTACAGGCGCCCACCACCATGCCCGGCTAATTTTTAAATTTTTAGTAGAGACGGGGTTTTGAACTCCTGGTCTCCAACGCCTGACCTCAAGTGATCCACCCGCCTCAGCCTCCCAAAGTGCTAAGATTACAGGTGTGAGCCACCGCGCCTGACCTAGAGTTCTCTTTTTATATATAGTCTGGTTATTGTCTGTCTGTACACCCATCTCTCCACTCCGAATGCGATGGTCTGTCTCCACAGCTCGTGTTCTTCAGTTGTCTTCCCTACGCTGCTGCCTCGGCAGTCACTATCTCCTCAGGAAGCAGTCCCACCCGCCCCTTTCTCTTCCACGGCATCCACACCATCCGGATGCCTGGATTCAAATGCCACGTCACCACTTGCCAGCTGCAGTGCCTTCGACAAGTTTCTCAATCACTCTGTGCCTCAGCGTCCTCCTCTGTAAAACGGCGAATGATGGTAGCGCCTACCTCATAAGCTTGTGAGGATTAAGTGAGAGTCTATCCAGTGTTGAGGAGAGTGGCATAAATAAAGCGCCTAGTGGTAGCTACCATCGTCATTATTGTCATCTGCATTGTACTTCCATATCTTACAAACTACCTTGTTCAGTTTTATGGGTTTTTTGTTTGTTTGTTTTGTTGTTTTGAGACGGGGTTTTGCCATATTGCCCAGGCTGGTCTTGAACTCCTGGGCTCAAGTGATCCACTCGCCTCAGCCTCCCCAAGTGCTGGGATTACAGGTGTAAGCCACCATGCCTGGCCAAATTTTATGCATTTTTGTATCTTGAACACGCGTATATTATTCATCTGGAAGGGGGAAACGTGGAAGGAAAAAACTTCCATAAGTTTTCACTCCCTTCAGGATGAAGTCCAAGCTCCACAAATTCCGGGTGCCTCGTGATTACAGAGATGGTTTTATAATGGTGGTTGAACCTGTAGGTTCTCAAGTCTTAAAAAAGATCTGCGTTTGAACCTCAGCAGTCACTGACGAGCTCTTGATCTTAGGCAAATTAGCCTCTTCAAGAGTGCTAAATGGGAGAAAGTAACAGGACTTTCCTCATAGGGTTTGATGATTTAGAGTAAAAAAAAAAAAAAAAGAAAAGAAAACCAGCACAGAGTCTTGTGTACTGAAGGTGCTTAATATCTTAACACAGCTGACTCTGTACAGTCTGGGGGCGAGGGGCACTGACCCCCAGCTCAGCCGAAAACCTCCATATAGGCTGGGCGCGGTGCCTCACGCCTGTAATCCCAGCACTATGTGGAAGGCCAAGGCCGGCGGATCAACTGAGGTCAGGAGTTCGAGACCAGCCTGGCCAACATGACAAAACCTGGTCTCTACTAAAAATACAAAAATTAGGCAGGCGTGGTGGCAGGTGCCTGTAATCCCAGCTACTTAGGAGGTTGAGGCAAGAGCATCGCTTGAACCCAGGACGTGGAGATTGCAGTGAGCCGAGATCGCACCACTGCACTCCATCCTGGGCGACAGAGCAAGACTGCCTCAAAAAAAAAAAAAAAAAAATCAAGAAAGAAAATCTGCATATAACTTTTGACTTCCCCAAAACTTAACTACTAGGCCAGGCACCGTGGCTCACACCTGTAACCCCAGGTGGGATTTGGGAAGCTGAGGTGGGCAGAGCACTTGAGCCCAGGAGTTCAAGACCAGCCTGGGCAACACGGCAAAACCCAGACTCTACAGAAAACAGAAAAATTAACTGGGTGTGGTGGTGTGTGCCCGTAGTTCCAGCTACTTGGGAGGCTGTGGTGGGAGGACTGCTTGAGTCAAGGAGGTTGAGGCAGCAGCGAACTAAGATCATGCCCCTGCACCCCAGCCCAGCTGGCAGAGCAAGACACTGTCTCAGGATTTAAAAAAAACATTACTCGTAGTTGACTGGAAGCCTTACCAATAACATAGTCAATTAACACATATTTTATACGCTATATGTATTATATTCTGTATTCCTATGATGAATTAAGCTAGAGAAAAGAAAATATTGGCCGGGCGTGATGGCTCATGCCTGTTACCCCAGCACTTTGGGAGGCTAAGGCGGGCGGATCACCAGGTCAGGAGATCGAGACCATCCTGGCTAACACGGTGAAACCCCATCTCTACTAAAAATACAAAAAATTTGCCGGGCGTGGTGGCAGGCACCTGTAGTCCCAGCTACCGGGGAGGCTGAGGCAGGAGAATGGCGTGAACCCGGGAGGCGGAGCTTGCAGTGAGCTAAGATCGCGCCACTGCACTCCAGCTTGGGTGACAGAGCGAGACTTCGTCTCAAAAAAAAAAAAAAAAGAAAATATTAAGAAAATTCTAAAAAAGAGAAAATATATTTACTATTCATTAAGTGGAAGTGGATCATCATAAAGGTCTTCATCCTTGTCTTCATTCTGAGTAGGCAGAGGTGCAGAAAGAAGAGGAGGGTTTGGTCTTGCTGTCTCAGGGTGCCAGAGGTGGAGGAGGTAAAAGGCAAAGCAGGAGAGGCAGGCATGCTCTGTGTAACCTTTACTTTTTTCAATCTGCATAAAAGTGGACCCGAGCAGTTCAGACCCATGTTGCTCAAGGGTCAACTGATGAGATCTGGCCTCACCCTGATCCTCTTCAGAAGCATGGTCCAGTCATATGGCACCAGGCCCTCTTCCACAAACCCCTCATGCTTCCTCCTCTCTCTCTCTCACTCAGGCTGGAGCCCTCTAGCCCTTCCTCTCTGAAAGGAGCACGGGTAATATAAGAGGAACCCTTGGTTTCCATCATGGGTTGCCAAGGACCAGCTGGGCATGCTTGGGGAGCTGAATTCCTTTCCTTTTGTACAAGTGTAATAAAATCTAATTATGCCCCATCCATAGGACGCAAAACCATGTAGCTGTTGGCAAAAATGAGACAAGCCTGGGCATATCCAATAAGCAAGATGCAGAAGTGTGCATAGTATGCTACAATTTTCATTAATAAAAATGACCTTAACGTATGTATATTTATTTAAAATATGCTTAGAAAGTCATGTAGGAGAAATTATAATTTCCAAATTGTCTCAGCCCTGATTTAAAAATTATAGTTTAAGCCACTCATTTATTTAGCAACAATGTATTGACTGCTGTGTGCCAGGAACTGTTCTTGGACCTGGGGATACTGCATGAACAAGGGTAAATAAAACAAAAACCAAAACCAAAACCTTGTCCTTAACTAGAAACAAATGCCAATCACCTGATGAATGGATAAATAAAATGGGGTTATGTCCATACAATGGAATATCCAGCAGTAAAGAGGAACAAAGCTGGCCGGGCACGGTGGCTCATGTCTATAATCCTAGCACTTTGGGAGGCTGAGGTGGGCGGATTGCCTGAGCTCAGGAGTTCGAGCCTGGGCAATTATGGTGAAACCCTGTCTCTACTAAAATACAAAAAATTAGCCTGACGTGGTGGCAGGCGCCTGTAATCCCAGGTACTTGGGAGGCTGAGGTGGGAGAATCGCTTGAACCCACTTGAACCCAGGAGGCAGAGGCTGCAGTGGGCCGAGATTGTGCCACTGCACTCCAGCCTGGGCAACAGAGCAAGACTCTGTCTCAAAAATAAAAAAAATAAATAATAATAATAATAATAAGCAAGGAAGAGAATGCACATGGCCAGTTCATGAGGAAGCTGCAAAGTAGGACCTTTGAGTTTTACTCTGAGATGGAAAACTCCAGGAAAGTTTTAGACAGAGCTGTGACATGGTCTGACTTATCTTTTAATATGATGATTCTGGCCGGGCGCGGTGGCTCACGCCTGTAACCCCAGCACTTTGGGAGGCCGAGGCGGGTGGATCACAAGGTCAGGAGATCGAGACCATCCTGGCTAACATGGTGAAACCCCGTCTCTACTAAAAATACAAAAAATTAGCCAGGTGAGGTGGCGGGCGCCTGTAGTCCCGGCTACTAGGGAGGCTGAGGCAGGAGAATGGCGTGAATCCGGGAGGCGGAGCTTGCAGTGAGCAGAGATCGCGCCACTGCACTCCAGCCTGGGCGACAGCGAGACTCCGCCTCAAAAAAAAAAAAAAAAAAAAAAACAAAAAAAAAAACGATGATTCTGGCTGCTCTGTTGAAAACAGACAACAGAGGGGCAAGAATGGAAGGCAGGGGATGAGTTAGGAAGCTATCAATATCAAATGAGCCATGGTTTGGTTTTTCTAAGATACTGGCAGTGAAGGTGGAGGGTGGGGCCTAACTGTGGATCCACAGTGCTTTGAACATGGCACCTATAGAATTTGTTGACTGACAACATGGGGGGACACCAGTCACAAAAGTTTTTTTTTGTTTGTTTGTTTTAAATAGAGATGAGATGAGGTCTCACTATGTTCAGCCAAGGCTGGTCTCAAACTCCTGAGCTCAGCGGCTCAACTGATCTTCCCACCTTGGCCTCCCAAAGTGCTAGGATTACAGGTCTGAGCCACCACATCTGGCCACAGGAGTTTTAAATGAGGAACTTTTCAGAGGAGAGACTCATGACAGAGGGAATGAGACTTCTAAGTACTTTGTTGTAGAGAGGAGAAAGGGTGGAGAATAGACTTACAAAGCCAATTATGAAGCAGGCACAAAGAGAGTATTGGCCAGACAGGGGTTAGCGTCATTTTTTTTCTTTTCTTTTTATTTTTTTGAGATGGAGTTTAGCTCTTGTTGCCCAGGCTGGAGTGTAGTAGTGCGATCTTGGCTCACTGCAACCTCTGCCTCCTGGATTCAAGTGATTCTCCTGCCTTAGGCTCCTGAGTAGCTAGGAGTACAGGCGCATGCCACCACGCCCGGCTAATTTTTTTTTTTGTATTTTTAGTAGAGATGGGGTTTCACCATATTGGCCAGGCTGATCTCAAACTCATCTGCCCACCTCAGCCTCCCAAAGTGCTGGGATTACAGGTGTGAGCCACCACGCCTGGCCCAGTGTCATATTTTAAATTAATCTAAACTTACAGGAAATTGAGATTCTATGAAGTCTGTTTACTGGGAATGGCAAGAAAGAGGGGAGATGGGAGTCTCTCTAAACCTATTCTGGTTCCAGAGGCTGCTCAATTCACACAAAAAAGAGAAAGAATGAAACATGGGGGGAAGAAATGGAAGAACTAGAGGTGGAGACTTTCAGCCCCAGAATTTTACCATGTGGAAGTTTTTGTTTGTTTTTGTTTTTTTGAGACAGTGTCTAGCTCTGTCGCCCAGACTGGAGTGCAGTGGCGTGACCTTGGCTCACTGCAACCTCCACCTCCCAGATTCAAGTGATTCTCCTGCCTCAGCCTCCGGAGTAGCTAGGATTACAGGCGCCCGCCACCACGCCCGGCTAATTTTTGTATTTTTCATAGAGGCGGGCCATGTTGGCCAGGATGCTCTGGAACTCCTGACCTCATGATCCGCCCGCCTTGGTCTCCCAAAGTGCTGGGATTACAAGCATAAGCCACCACGCCCAGACTCACCATGTGAATGTATTACACTGACAAAATAAACGTGACAAAATAAAACTGCACATTGATAAGATAAAGGTGTAATTATTGGAATAGTGGTAGTGTTCTAGTACTTTCTTAAGCAAAAACATGGGTAAATGATTTCATAAGTGCAAATTTTTTACAAATACATGTGTTTTAGCTTTTATAAAAATTGCAGAATATAACACATCCAAAAAAGAGTCTAAAATATAAATATACAGTATCAAAAAAATTCTCCACCACTACCCAGGCCATGAAAAAGCAGAACGCCTTCCAGAGTCCTTCCTTTCTCCCCAGGCTCTGAACTCCTAAAATTACAATACTCATTTCCTTTCATAATATATATATATATACACACACATATATATACATACATGTGTGTATATTTACATATATACACACACACATATATATATTTTTTGAGACAGGTTCTTGCTCTGTCTCCCAGGCTGGAGGGCAGTGGTGCAATCACAGCTCACAGCAGCCTCAACTTCCCAGGCTCAAGGGATCCCTGGCTAATTTTTTTTTAAATTATTTTTTGTAGAGACTGGGTATTACAATGTTGCCAGAGCTGGTCTCAAACTCCTGGGCTCAAGCGATCCCCCTGCCTTGGCCTCCAAAAGTTCTGTGGGATTACAGGTGTGGGTCATCGTGCCCAGCCTATATTTTTATTTATAACGTTTGTATGCATCTGGGAAATTTCATAGAAATCTTTTCAAGAGGAAGTTTAGTGAGGTAGAAAGAGTGCAGATTTAGGAGTCAGAAAAACCAATTTTGAAAGGCCAGGCCTGCTATTTACTAAGTGTGTGACTTTGGGCAAGTCAGTCCCCCCCCTCCAGGCCTTTTTCTCACCTGTACATGCAGATGAGACCATCCACGGGTTCCAGGACTGTCGCAAACATTCAAATCATGAACATTTATATACCAAGTTTATTGAGACCTCCTGAGACTTAAACCCTGTAGAAAACAGATGAATCAAACCCAGGCCCCATTCTCGGGAAGCTCACAGTGTGAAAATAGGTAACTACAAAAACACAGCCAATAAGTGCTTTGAAACAAGGAAGAACATAAAAAAGATGTAGTGTTCGAAAACCTGGAATCAAAAACTAACCGCGGAGAAAGGTAGGAGGATGTTCTAGACTCCCAGAGAAGAGCTGGGGAACATCCAGAAAGGCTCTTGCTGCCGACACAGCCACATCCCCTAGGTCTCTGGAGTTCACTGCAGGCTGGCCCATTGCAGGGAGGTGTAGACCACCTTACCATCAGGCTGCGGAGAACAGAGGAGCAGGGTCTTTCTGACGCTGGTTCCAAGGCGCCCAGCAGCAACCAGGTCTTGGAGTGGGATGGTGTCCTCGGGGGCCCAGCACTGAGCGATATAATGGGCGTGGAAGCGGAGGGGGTCACCTGGGGGAAGGAGAGAGGCACTGAAGCAGTGACCAATGGCAGACGGCTGGACGCCACGGGAACGACCACTGGGAGGAGATCTGAGATCATTTCAGCCATCACTATAGATACTCTAAAACAGATGCTCTTGGACACAACTATTCCACTTCTAGGCTTTTTTTTTTTTTTTTTTTTGAGACAAAGTCTCGCTCTTGTCCCCCAGGCTGGAGTGCAATGGCACGATCTTGGCTCACTACAACCTCTGCCCCCTGGGTTCACATGATTCTCCTGCTTCAGCCTCCCGAGTAGCTGGAAATACAGGCACCCACCACCACGCCCAGTTAGTTTTAGTATTTTTAGTAGAGATGGGGTTTCACCATGTTGGCCAGACTGGTATCAAACTCCTGACCTCAGGTGATCCACCTGTCTTGGCCTCCCAAAGTGTTGGGATTACAGGCGTGAGCCATTGCGCCCAGCCTGATGTCTAACTACTTCTAAGTGAATCTTCTGGATCACAGTAATCATTTAATAAAAGTCGTTAAACTGCTTGCCCAATGAGTTCAGGAGCTCCCAAATGTTTCCTGTCTGTCTATGAATTTCAGAGGCTAAGAGAAAGTGAGACAAAAAAGAAAAATGCAGCTGGGCCTATAATTCCAGCACTTTGGGGGGCCGAGGTGGAAGGATTGCTTGAGCCCAGGAATAGGGACCAGCCTAAGCAACAAGAGACCCCACCTCTATTAAGACAAAAAAAAAAAAAAGAAAAACGCAGAATACATTGGGATCGTATGGAAAGGCACAGCAACCAGAGGCCCCAACCCATACTCACCAGGATAGACCAGGAAGTCACCTCCGAACTTGCCAGCCGCACTGAGGAAGAAGCCTCGCTCCCACAGGTCTCTGTAGATACTGTAGCGCAGCTCGTGGGCAGGGCGGCCGGCGTGGGGCCAGTCTTTAGACTGGACACGCCAGTCCAGGGGCCTGGCCTTGACCGGTCGAGGCCTGGCAGTGGCCAGCTGGACAAGGAGAGCAGATCTGGGCAAGGGGGCTACCCCATTTGAGGGTCCTGCTTGGGAAGACGAGGGGCCTGGTGGGGAGTACAGAGAAGAGTTTGGTAAATTCAAGGGGTAAAGTCTTCTCACCCTCAGGGAGACCCAGGCACTGGATTCCCAGCTAAAATTCCTAAAAGATCTCTCCTCTCCTTCCCGTGGTCCCTGGACTCCACCTCCCATGCTCACCAGCTTCCTCCTGCTCTCCCGAAGCCTGGCCATCACTGGTCTCATCCTCTTTGGCAGCCTGGCTCGAGCCGGCCTCCTGGCTTGAGCTGGCCCCTGAAGCCTGTTCTAGTTTCTGCTTCTTAGCAGCCTGGCCCTCCGTAATCTTCTCCAGGAGCTCCTGACGACGGGTCTCCCGGGCCTCAGCTGCCAAGGCGCTCTGCTCCTGGAAGCTCTCCTCTTGCTGGCGCTTGAAGGATGTCAGGGCCTGAGAAGCACACTTCGCTGGAACCTCCAAGCTTATGGTCCCTTCAGAAGCCAGGAAACTTGACTCCCAGGTCCCGCTCCCACCGAACCCGAGTTCGAGCCCCGCCCCCTTACCAGGCTGTGGTGCCGAGAGTCTGGACGCGGGGCGCTGACCAGAGTCACGGCGCCGATCTCGGCCAAGAGCCGCGCCTCTTCGGGCATCAGCAGCAGCGGGAGGCCCAGGCGCGAGTTCTGGCGGGGCCCGCGGGGCAGGGCGCCTACCGTGCGGCCCCCCACACCCAGGCGCTCCCGGAGGGCCTGCACCGCCTCGGCTCCCCACACCAGGGAGCGGCCGTTCGCCACCTCCACCACCAGCATCCTCCTGCGGGAGCCGGGAGGCAAAGCAGTTACCGAAACAGCTGCGCGCCGCAGACCGCTGCAGCGCACCCAAAGCCTCCGGGGTCTCGGCGAAGCCCCGCCCCTAGGCCTCAGGGGGCGGGGCCTCGCTCAGCCGCCGTTCACCACCTGCTGGGCCCGAGCGCCAGGCCCCGCCCCCGGGCGATCCCACCAGGCCTCGCGGCCGCCGGAGACGAGACGCCGGAGACAAGCCCCCGACCCTCGCCCCTCGCCAAGCCCCCAGGGTCCCGCTCTACCCTTGTGACCCTGCGGTCGGCACCCGCTCTGTGCCCGCACTGCCGTACCTACCATTGCGCCTTGGAGCGTGAAAAACAAACCTCCGCAAGCGCGGCGACACGCCCCCTTACAAAGGTCCATTTTGGCACCACCCTCTTGCAAAGTGGGCGTCCCCCTTCGGGTGTTCCCGTCAGCGGTCAGAAGCTCTGGAGGCTAAGGCACCGCCGAGGCCACACCCTCTTCCGGACGCTCGAGCCTTCGCTCCTCCTCTTTCCGAACGACTGTGATTCGGCTTTCGGACCTCCTCGCTCTCAGACTCCCACAGTACAAAACCCTGCCCCCTCCCGAGCACAGGAAGTTCGGCGTTCGGGCGTCCTCGGCTCCACCGAATCCGCAGCCCCGCCCCCTTCCCGAACGCCAGCAATTTGACGTTCGGGTGTTCTCGGCTCGGCCGAATCCGTAGCCCCGCCTCCTCCCGGACGCAATAGGTTCGGCGTTCGGGCGTCATCGGCTCCCGGCAGCCTCGCGGCCTGTGGCCCCGCCCCCTCCGAGCGCCAGCGCACCCCAGTTGGGGAGTTCCCGCCCTACGACCGAACCCCACAGCCGAAAGCCCCGCCCCCTGGACACCCGCCGTCCACTCTCCGCTCGGGCGGGCTCACCCCAATTGGGAGCGCTCAGTCCGCCTCCTTGCCTCCCTTCAGAATGTCCCACTGTCCACCGATAGAACCAGCGAGTCACCTCATAAACAGTAATTCGCAGTCGAGGTGGAGCCACCCACTGCGCACCGCGCCACGCGCTCCTTGCTCCACCCCCTCATGCCGACACCCTCGTCAACTTCGTCATCCCGCCCCATCAGCGCCGCGGGAAGTCAGGTCCCGCCCCTCGCAGGACCGAAGCCCCGCCCTCCTCCCGCGGGGGCCACCTTGGCTCCGCCCCACTGAGCGCACCTCCCTCTGCCGCTTCCTCTCCTCTACTTGGGAACTTGAGGATCGTCACCCTGGCCCGGTCCCGTAGGCGCACGCCGGCCCTCGGGGTTCCGCCCCTTTGAGGGCAAGTCGCTTTCGCCCCGCCCCCTTGTAAATACTCATGGGTATCTGGCGAACCTGTTGACTCCGCCTATCATCCTAGCGTCACTTGTACCCAACTATCTACGAAGTAAACCGAAGCTTGTGGCCCCACCCACATCCGGCCGAGTCTGTGGCCCCGCCCACATCGGAACAGTGACCCTAAGGACTCGACTACCTCCGAAGAAAGCCGAAACATGTGGCTCCGCCCACACTGGCCTCAGCTCTCCGTTCTCGACTATTGCCGAAGTGAGCCGAAGTTTGTGGCCCCGCTTCCGGAGAACTCAAGCTCCCGATTGTGCCCGAAGGAACCCGAAGGGAGACCCCGCCTCATTCCTCACGGCGAGCTCCAGACCCCGCCTCCTTTCCGGAGCCCGTCTGTTCCCCTTCGGGTCCAAAGCTTTTGGCTCCTCCTTGTTCCGAGCCCGAAGGCCCGCCCCTTCACGTACTCGGAGCTCGGATCCCAGTGTGGACCTGGACTCGAATCCCGTTGCCGACTCGCGCTCTCGGCTTCTGCTCCGGGGCTTCTTCCCTGCCCGCCCGGGGCCCTGACCGTGGCTTCTTCCCCGGCCTGATCTGCGCAGCCCGGCGGGCGCCCAGAAGGAGCAGGCGGCGCGGGGGCGCGCTGGGCGGGGGAGGCGTGGCCGGAGCTGCGGCGGCAAGCGGGCTGGGACTGCTCGGCCGCCTCCTGCCCGGCGAGCAGCTCAGGTGGGCCAGGGTGGCGGCGCCCAGTGGCGAGGCGAGGTTACACGGCGGCAGGGTCTCTGCGGGCTGGCGGGTGCGGGGCGGCCCCGGAGGCGCGTTGGAACTCGGGGCTGGCGCAACCGCCTGTGGCTCTGCCGGGGATGCGCTGGGGTGCGCGGGACGGGTTGGGGCTGGGCCTGGGCCTGGGCCTGGGGAGGGGAGGGTGTTCGATCCCCGGGTTCTCAGTAGGAGAGGGGTGTGGAGCTCCGAAGGAGGTGCAGGTTGGAGACCCGGGCTCCTCTGGGTGGTCTCGAAGAAGGGCTGGGGGGTCCGGATATCTGGTTTCACAAGGGCCGGGGGATGGGGGATCCAAAGAGGGGGTCTGGGTTCCTGGATCCTCGCTGGAAGAGGGGGCTCGGAGGTCTAGATTCCTGGGCTGTCGAAGAGGAAGGGTCCGGGAGGGGTGCCGTTTCTGGGTTTTTAAAAGAGGGGCGTCTTCAAATCTGGGTCCCCAGTATGGGTGCGGGGAGTAGCTTTGATTTCTGCGTTCGCAAAGGAGGGGCTTGGGTGCTGGGAGATCCCCACACTTTCCTGGGTTCTCCAAGGACAGGAGAGCTGGAGGCCTGTGCGCTCAAAGGAGGGGCTGGGGGTGGATTCCTGTCTCCTCCAAGGAGGAAGGGGCTGGAGTCCGGGTTGCTAGGTTCTCAAAGGAGAGGAGCTGAGGCTCATACTCCATCATCCTCAAAAACTGGGGTCTAGAAGGCTGGGTTCCTGGATCCTCGAAGAGGGAGGAGGCAGGGGGCCTGGATTCCTGGGTTCTCACTGTGAATCTCTGCCCCTCCCCCAGACCATGTCGCCTGAAGAATGGACGTATCTAGTGGTTCTTCTTATCTCCATCCCCATCGGCTTCCTCTTTAAGAAAGCCGGTGAGTCAGGCTCCCTCCCCAGTGGAAAATAAAGGGGGGGGACCCTCTGGAAGGTTCCAGGCTTATGCTGTCCCTTCCCCCTGCAGGTCCTGGGCTGAAGAGATGGGGAGCAGCCGCTGTGGGCCTGGGGCTCACCCTGTTCACCTGTGGCCCCCACACTTTGCATTCTCTGGTCACCATCCTCGGGACCTGGGCCCTCATTCAGGCCCAGCCCTGGTGAGAATTTGGTGGAGGGAGGAGAGGGAGAGGAGGGGAGAGGGGGAAGCAACCTGTTTCCTCTTTGAGTCTTTTTCAGCTTCTGCCTCATCTCTAGCTGTCTCTTGTTGATCAGCTCATTTCTCTGTTTCATGTTTGTTTGTTTGTTTGTTTTTCTTTCTTTCTTTCTTTTTGAGATGGAGTTTCGCTCCTGTTGCCCAGGCTGCAGTTCAGTGGCACGATCTTGGCTCACTGCAACCTCCACCTCCCGGGTTCAAGCGATTCTCTTGCCTCAGCCTCCCAAGTAGCTGGGACTACAGGCATGCTCCACCACGCCTGGCTAATCTTGAATTTTTAATAGAGCCGGGGTTTCTCCATGTTGGTCAGGCTGATCTCGAACTCCTGACCTTGTGATCTGCCCACCTCAGCCTTCCAAAGTGCTGGGATTACAGGCGTGAGCCACCGTATCCGGCCTTCATCTGCTTTTCTTTCTCCCCTGCCTTCTGCGTCTGGTCCCTGTGTGTTTGTCCCAGTCCGCTACATCCATGTCATGGAGAGAGGTGGACAGTGTGTCTGCTGGCCTGGCCACCGTTCATATTCATTCATATCCACCTCTCTCTTCTTGAGCCCTGGACCTCGGAAATAAAGAAAAAGTGGAGGATTGCAGGGTCTTCACCTGAAGCTTCTCTTAACCTCATTCTCTGTTGGTGTGTGTTTCTATGTGGCTGAGCCTCTTCTCCCACTGTTTCAATCATACTCATTCGGTCCCTACATCCACCCTCCTGTCCTCTCTGCCCTTCTGTGTTTCTGTCTCTAAACGAATGGGGAGAGCTGGGGGAGGATTGGTGGCTGGACTCGTGGAGTGAATGGCCAAGGCCGAGACTTCTGTGCCCAACACAGTGCGCCTCCTGCTTTTGCCCAGCTCCTGCCACGCCCTGGCTCTGGCCTGGACTTTCTCCTATCTCCTGTTCTTCCGAGCCCTCAGCCTCCTGGGCCTGCCCACTCCCACGCCCTTCACCAATGCCGTCCAGCTGCTGCTGACGCTGAAGGTCAGACTCGGGGCTTGCCACTCCCCTCCAGCCTCCCTGTGGGCCCCTTCACCTCCCACTTTACCTCCCCCTTCAGTGGCTCCCCGGGATTTTACCTCCAACACACCCTGGGGGTGGGACGTCACCTCACTTGCTGCCCTGGGCACAGCATTCCCCATTCACATGCCCTTGGGCAGGTCTTCACCTCCCAGCTCCTCCTGGGGTGAGGAAATAACCCACATAGGTAACAGTAGGTGCCATTGGGTGCTTGCGGTGTGCCAGAGGCCCAGCTGGGTGGTTTACCAACATGCTGTCCTTGAATCTCTGTAGCCAGCTATTTTGCAAAGGAGAAAAACCAGCTCTGGGGAGAAGGTACTTGGTGAAGGGAACAAAACTAGGGCATCCAGGTCTGGCTCCTAATCACCTGGGAAGAGGGGTAAAAACAGAATCCTAGGGCCCACCCCAGACCCACAGAGTCATGGTTTCCTACTGGCGGCTTATCCGTGAACACAGCAGTCATGCTAGGTAGGGAGTGGCCTTCCCAGCATTCAGTGTGCCCTGTGGGAGCTCAGTGGTGGCAGGAGTAGGTTGGATGAGAGAGGGGTTCGTGGAGGAGCATTTCAGGCCGCAGGATGTGTGGAGGGGAGCAGGCTGGGTTCCACAGGCTACACCAGCCACATCCACTTTCTGGGACGAGCAAAAGGGAACAGGCAGCAGGGCTGACACCGTGCTAGGCCTGGCTGGAGACCGTGAGGACATTGGACTTCTTCCCGTGGAGGATTGAGATCTGCTGGAAGAGGGGATTTTTGGTTTGCTGCCAGAAGAGGCAATGTGACCAGTTTTAAATGTTTAAAAATACTCGTTCTGGCTGGGCACAGTAGCTCACGCCTGTAATGCCAGCACTTTGGGAGGCTGAGGCAGGCGGATCACCTGAGGTCGGGAGTTCAAGACCAGCCTGACCAAAATGGAGAAACCCTGTCTCTACTAAAAATACAAAAGATTAGCTGGGCGTGGTGGCACATACCTGTAATCCCAGCTACTCGGGAGGCTGAGGCAGGAGAATTGCTTGAACCCAGGAGGCGGAGGTTGTGGTGAGCTGAGATCGTACCATTGCACTCCAGCCTGGGCAACAAGAGCAAAACTCCATCTCAAAAATAAATAAACAAATAGAAATACTCATTCTAGGCCAGCTGCGGTGGCTCACGCCTGTAATCCCAGCACTTTGGGAGGCTGACGCGGGTAGATCACCTGAGGTTAGGAGTTTGAGACCATCCTGGCCAACATGGTAAAACTCCGTCTCTACTAAAAATACAAAAATGAGCCGGGTGTGGTGGCTCACACCTGTAATCCCAGCTACTCAGGAGGCTGAGGCAGGATAATTGCTTGAACCTGGAAGGTGGAGGTTGCAGTGAGCCAAGATCCCGCCATTGCACTCCAGCCTGGGCCTTCCCGGGCAAGATTCCATCTCAAAAAAAAAAGAAAAGAAAAGAAAGAAAACTCGTTCTGGATGCTGAAGGAGAATTGAAGTGGAACAGGGCAAGATGGGATGGACTCAGATAAAGGGATCCTCCTTTGTCCGAGTCCAGGTGACAAACTGTGGTGGCTTGATACAGGCCGTTGGCTGGCTGTGGGTAGGTCTGAGTTGCAGCAGGAAACGCGCATTTAGGATGACTGAAGGAGTGGCCACCAATTGGGCAGGATGTAGAAGAGCAAGAAGGGATGGTGCCTGAACCCCAGCCCCGCAGAAGGAGCCGTTCCCAACCCTAGGCCCAGGGGAAATGGGTCAGGTTGTGGTACCTGGATGGAAAAAGGGTTGTGTAGGCCTGGTGCAGTGGCTCATACTTGTATAATCCCAGCGCTTTGGGAGGTCATAGTGGGAGGACTGCTGGAGGCCAGGAGTTTAAGACCAGCCTGGGCAATATAGTGAGACCCTGTCTCTACAAAAAATTAATTTTTTAAATGTTATTTATTTTTAAAGATGGAGTCTCGCTCTGTTGCCCAGGCTGGAGTGCAGTGGTGTGATCTCACTGCAACCTCTGCCTCTCGGGTTCGAGCGATTCTCCTGCCTCAGCCTCTCGAGTAGCTGGGACTACAGGCGCCCACCACCACGCCTTGCTAATTTTTATATTTTTAGTAGAGATGGGGTTTCACCATGTTGGCCGGGCTGGTCTCAAACCCCTGACATCAAGTGATCTGCCTGCCTAGGCCAACCAAAGTGCTAGTGTTATAGGTGTGAGCCGTCACACCTGGCCCTAAATTTTTTTTTTTTTTTTTTTTTTGAGACGGAGTTTCACTCCTGTTGCCCAGGCTGGAGTGCAATGGTACGATCTTGGCTTACCGCAACCTCCGCCTCCCAGGTTCAAGCGATTCTCCTGCCTCAGCCTCCTGAGTAGCTGGAATTACAGGCACTCACCACCATGCCCGGCTAATTTTTTGTATTTTTAGTAGAGACAGGGTTTTTCCATGTTGGTCAGGCTGATCTCGAACTCCCAACCTCAGGTGATCCGCCTGCCTCGGCCTCCCAAAGTGCTGGGATTACAGGCGTGAGCCACCGCGCCCGGCCAAAATTATTTTTTTTAAAGGGTGTGTAGAGCCACCCACCTTGAAATGATCTATCAAGGGTGACAGCCAGCCCAAGGCCATCTTACAAGGGAATAAAAGCCCTACCCTCCCTCTCCTGACTTTGTCTCCAGCCAGGGATTTCTACTGACAACCCAGCCACAAGCTGGAAGAAGGAGATCTATTGATATAGGGTGGACCTTGGGACTGGTGGGAAAGGGTGGAGAGTACAACATATTCAGCTCAGTAGTGGAGATGGAAAGAGGCAACAGACTCAAACTTAAGGGATTTCAAGGCGGGCAGATCACTTGAGGCCAGGAGTTCGAGACCAGCCTGGCCAGCTGAGGCATGAGAATTGCTTGCGCCCCCAGGAGGTGGGGGTTGCAGTGAGCCGAGATCACACCAGTATACTCCAGCCTGGGTGACAGAGCAAAACTTGTCTCAAAAAAAAAAAAAAAAAAAAAGAGAGATTAAAGGATCGGATTTGGGGAGTGAGGGAGATTTTTGGCTTGAACAATTTGGTGGCCTGTTGTTTGAGGGGAGACACTAGAAGAGGGTCTACCTTGTGGGGTGGGTAACATCATGTTCCGTTTCCAGTGCGTTTGGGGTGCCTGGAGACATCCGAGTATAAATGCCAATAAGCCACTTGATTGGATAGGTCTGGGGCTGGGGTAGCGTTTGGGCGTCCTCAGCGTGTGGATAGTATCGAAACCTCCGTGATTGCGTGAGAGCAGGTAAGCACAGAACAGGGAAAGGGGAGGAGGGCCTGGGACTGAGCCCTGGGGAACACCGCCCAGCTAGAGGCGTTACACACAACCTAGATGGGCAGAGCTGCGGGCACCCAGCACCCCTTGGCTGCCGAGGGCAGCCGCGCAAGGGAGATGGGTGTGGGGAAGGGCCCAGAGTCTGACCTGGCCCCTTGCCCACCCCCTTCTGCCCAGCTGGTGAGCCTGGCCAGTGAAGTCCAGGACCTGCATCTGGCCCAGAGGAAGGAAATGGCCTCAGGCTTCAGCAAGGGGCCCACCCTGGGGCTGCTGCCCGACGTGCCCTCCCTGATGGAGACACTCAGCTACAGCTACTGCTACGTGGGAATCATGACAGGTGAGTGGGGCTGCCCTAACAACTCTGCCGCTCTGTCTCCTGTGTCCCCTTCCGCCCTGAGTGCCTGTTGTGTGTTCCCGCCCTGCCCAGGGCAACCTCCATCCTAGCATCTGCTGCTGTGAGGGTGGGCATGTGTCTGGGTCTACGTCTCACACCTCCGCTGGACCAGAGCTGCTTTGGGGTAGAAGCTGGCTGTCTCAACCTAAGCAATTCCTTGCTCTTCTCCTTGTAGCGTATTGGGAGCAAAGAGAAGAGATAAAGGAGGTAAAGATCTATGTCAACCTGATGTTTTTGCTTCCCAGACAACAAATATTCACGGCTTAGGGTCCACTTTCAGCTTAAGGAAATATTTTTCATCTGGGCGTGGGGGCTTATGCCTATAATCCTAGCACTTTCGGAGGCTGAGGCGAGAGGATTGCTTGAGGCCAAAAGTTCAAGATCAACTTGGCCAACATAGCAAGATCCCGTCCCTTTATTTTAAACCTTTATTTTTAAAAAATAAATAAATATAAAATTAAAAGGGCCGGGCGCAGTGGCTCACGCCTGTAATCCCAGCACTTTGGGAGGCTGAGACAGGCAGATCACCTGAGGTCAGGAGTTTGAGACCAGCCTGGCCAACATGGTGAAACCCCGTCTCTACTGAAAATACAAAAATTAGCCGGGCATGGTGGTGTGTGCCTGTAATCCCAGCTACTTGGGAGGCTGAAACTGGAGAATCGCTTGAACCCACGAGACGGAGTTTGCAGTGAGCCAAGATCACACCACTGCACTCCATCCTGGGCAACAGAGCAAGACTCCATCTCAAAAAATACATATGTATGTGTGTGTGCATGTGTGTATATATATGTATGTGTGTATGTGTATATATATGTGAAATTTTAAAAAGAAAATATTTTTCATTAATGTTTACCTCATCAAAGGTTTTTTTTCCAATAACAGCTTTAGGGAACTCTAATTCACATACTCATCCACTTAAAACATACAACTCTTGGCTTCTTTAATTTCCTGGAAAAAAAAAAAAACACAAAACATACAACTCCCTGATTTTTAGTATATTCACCGAGTTGTGCAGACATGACCATTGTGTAGTTATATTCAGAACAGTTTCATACCCTGCAAAGAAACCCCATGTCCATCATCCCACAAACCTCCATCCATCCCTGGTAACCAGTAATTGACTTTCTATCTGTAAAGATTTGCCTGTTCTGGACATTGCGCTTACAAATGGAATCATACAACATGTGGTCTTATTTATTTATTTTAATTTGTTTTTTTTTTCCTTTTATCTTCCCATGCTACATTGACCTAAACATACGGCCTTTGTGAACATATAAAAATTTTAACCCCGGTCCCTTCTGTGAATCACACTGCTTCCTCCCTAGGCCAGACCACCATCATATTGTAGCTAAAGTGCCACAGCTATCTCCTAGTTTCTTTCCTTCCTCCTTCCCTCCGTCCTTCCCTTTTCCCTTCTTCCTTCCTTCCCTCCTTCCTTCCCTCCCTCCTTCCTTCCCTCCTTCCCTCCCTCCTTCCTTCCCTCCCTCCTTCCTTCCCTCCTTCCCTCCCTCCTTCCTTCCCTCCTTCCCTCCCTCCCTCCCTCCTTCCTTCCCTCCCTCCTTCCTTCCCTCCCTCCTTCCTTCCCTCCTTCCTTCCCTCCTTCCTTCCCTCCCTCCTTCCTTCCCTCCTTCCCTCCCTCCTTCCTTCCCTCCCTCCTTCCTTCCCTCCTTCCCTCCCTCCTTCCTTCCCTCCTTCCCTCCCTCCCTCCCTCCTTCCTTCCCTCCTTCCCTCCCTCCCTCCTTCCTTCCCTCCTTCCCTCCCTCCCTCCTTCCTTCCCTCCTTCCCTCCCTTCTTCCTTCCCTCCTTCCCTCCCTCCTTCCTTCCCTCCTTCCCTCCCTCCCTCCTTCCTTCCCTCCTTCCCTCCCTCCTTCCTTCCCTCCTTCCCTCCCTCCCTCCTTCCTTCCCTCCTTCCCTCCCTTCTTCCTTCCCTCCTTCCCTCCCTCCTTCCTTCCCTCCTTCCCTCCCTTCTTTCTTCCCTTCTTCACTCCTTCCCTCCCTCCCTCCCTCCCTCCCTGGCTGGAATGCAGTAGCTCAGTCACTGCTCACTGCAGCCTGGGCTCAAACGATCCTCCCGCCTCAGCCTCCCCAGTAGCTGGGAATTCAGGTGCCCTCCACACCTGGCTGATTTTTATTTTTTGTAGTGATGGGGTCTTGCCGTTTTGCCCAGGCTGCTGTCCAACTGTTGGGCTCAAGCAGTCCTCCCAGCTAGGCCTCCCAAAGTGCTGGGATTCCAGGTGTGAGCCACCGCACCGGCCCCTCTGTCTGTTTTTCTGTTACTGTCTCTGTCTCTCTGAGTTTCTTGTCCCCCCTGTCTCTCGTTCCTTATCCCCATCTCTCAGGGTCTCAGTCCCTACCCTTGGGGTCTCCCCGGCGCCCAGTCTCTGCCCCTCTCACTCCCTCTTCCCACCTTCCTTCCAAGCTCCCTGTCCTCCTCCTGCAGACTTGAGCTCTGCCCACCTGCCTGTCTGACCGCGGCCCTCCCTCCCCGCCCCACAGGCCCGTTCTTCCGCTACCGCACCTACCTGGACTGGCTGGAGCAGCCCTTCCCCGGGGCAGTGCCCAGCCTGCGGCCCCTGCTGCGCCGCGCCTGGCCGGCCCCGCTCTTCGGCCTGCTGTTCCTGCTCTCCTCTCACCTCTTCCCGCTGGAGGCCGTGCGCGAGGACGCCTTCTACGCCCGCCCGCTGCCCGCCCGCCTCTTCTACATGATCCCCGTCTTCTTCGCCTTCCGCATGCGCTTCTACGTGGCCTGGATTGCCGCCGAGTGCGGCTGCATTGCCGCCGGCTTTGGGGCCTACCCCGTGGCCGCCAAAGCCCGGGCCGGAGGCGGCCCCACCCTCCAATGCCCACCCCCCAGCAGGTCAGGCGGCGCGAGGGAGGCTTCCCAAGACCCAGCAGCCCCCACCTCCAAGGGCTGGCTCTGCCCCTAGCCGGGAGGAGAGCGGGGAGCAAGGGGCCAGGGCCACCACCTTTTTGAGCAGAGTGTCGCCCCCTCGGCAACCATGGCCTGCCAGCCCCTGTCGGTAGGGAAAAGATCCCTGGTACTGACAGATGCCCCTTGTTGCTAGCGCTTGTCACCCCGCAGTGTGGTGAACTGCCCCCTGTCGCTAGGAAAAGGTGGTAACTTAGCAACCCTGTGCCACCCCTCTGTTGCCACAGAAGTGTCACCCCCCAGAACCAGATTGTTCCTGCTTGCTGGGGATGCCATCCTTTGCTAGTGGTGGGTCACCCTCTGTTGCTAGGGAAACGGTTCCCTAGCAACAGAACGCCACTATTTGCTAGGGAAGCAGGATCCCTAGCAACAGTAGCTCACCTCCTTTTTACCAGAAGTTTTGCTCTGTTGCTGCAGATACGGCACTCCCTGCACTGCCCCTTTGTTGCTAGGAGCTAGCACTGCTCCACCCCGTGGGATGTCCTCACATAGCAGCCCTCAGCAGCCCTCTGCAAGGAAATAGCAATTTCCAATCCCTGACCAGTGCTGTTCCCCAGCAGAGGGCACGCCATTCCTACCAACTACAGTTACACTGTTGCTAAGGAAGCCAAACCTCCCCCTGGAAACTATGGGTTGACCCTTGTTGCCAGAGAGGCTCCACCCCCCGGCACCTGCATTGCTAGGCAAGTCGCACGGCCATAGCTGTGGACTCTCTTGTGGCTGAGGAAGTATTGCCCCCGTGTTGCTAGGGAGATGGCACCCCCGGCAACCAGGAGTAGACTGCCCTTGTGTTCCTGACAGCTGCAGTCAGCCTTCCCCCAGGGGCTTGGACTGCGGCTGGGGGAACAGCCTGTTGATGTAAATGATGAACTACTACTCCCTGCTAGGGTTGTCCCCTAGTCGTCACAAACTGCCATTCTGTTGTGGGGGTAGTGACACCCCCACGGGAATTTGTTACCACTGCCCTAATAACCGTGCCCTGACCTCCAGCTGCTAGAGAGAGGATGTCCCCCTAGTAAAGCCAAGCAGGAATTGAAGGTTTTTCTAAATCTGCTCGGTCCTCACTCCTAAAGGATGGCTCCCCTCCTGTCATCAGAGGCCACCAAGGCTTCATATGGGCCAGTGTTTCCCACTGCTGGGGCTGTCGACATGAGTGATGAGGGAGCCACTGTATTGCTAGAGGTGACACTTCTCCAATAATCACTGCGACCAGGAAAAAAGCCCCTTCCTAAAAGCCTTTCTAAACATCCTAGGCATTGTTGCTAAGGAATGCCTTTTCCTTAGCAACAAAGATCATGGGGACCCCACTGGCGCCTGGAACATCTCCCTAGCAACCGTGAAGCACCTTGTTATTAGGGATGATAACCACAACTTCCCTGGCAACTGCAGTGTCCGACAATTTAGAAGGGACCATCCTTGGCGGCTTCTCTGAATATACTGAGTTTGGTTGCTAAAGGACTCATAGCTTAGCAACCATAGCCCTTCAAGGCTTTTCATGGCTGTGGCGGGCCCCATTAGGTACCAAAAGAAGAAGAACCCCATTGTCAGTGAACTGTACCACCCAGCCCACCCACCTTCCTACCCTACAGGCACCCTCTGGGCCACCCTCCCTTGCTGCCCTAGCAAGTCTGACAGCCAGAGGGCCATTGCCTGGCCAGGATCCCTTCCTTAGCATCCGGGGCTGGGACACTAGCAGGCGTCGGGAGGGGGCCTGGCTGAGCTGCATGTCTGTCCCCCACCCTCATCCTCCACCCCCCAGTCCGGAGAAGGCGGCTTCCTTGGAGTATGACTATGAGACCATCCGCAACATCGACTGCTACAGCACAGATTTCTGCGTGCGGGTGCGCGATGGCATGCGGTACTGGAACATGACGGTGCAGTGGTGGCTGGCGCAGTATATCTACAAGAGCGCACCTGCCCGTTCCTATGTCCTGCGGTGAGTGAGCCCGCCCAGTCTCAGGTGACACTGCAGAACTACATCTCCCAGCAGGCCCCAGGGTAGCCTGCAGCGTCCCTGGCTGGGCCCCTGCCCCCGGAGGCTCATGGGAATTGTAGTTTGTTTAGCCTGGTTTTGCCCTGCCTCTAATTATAGTGGCAGCATGCCGGTGTAAAATCGTTCCCCCTCTCGGGGCCTCAGTTGCTACTTCTGTAAAGTCAGCCTCACTCAGCAGAAGCAATGTACTGAGTCCTGTGGACTCAATAGCCAGCCTTCCTGGAATCTTGGCCGTCCAGGTTATGGAGAAACCTTGAGGAGTTAGTTGACCTCTTAGTTGCCTCAAGTGTTGAATGGAGTGAATGCTATTTATTACTGGTTTCATAGGTAGATAGAAGGACTAAATGTGATAAAATGTGAAATGTATTTAATGTGAGGCCTGACAGGTAAGTGCGTGCTGTGTATTCATTTTTATTGTTTTTCATTCTTCCAATATTTCTCGAGTGGAGACTCTGTGCTTGACACTGTTATCTGTGCAGCCTTTAGAAGCAGAAACTCAGCCGGGTGCGGCAGCTCACGCCTGGAATCCCAGCACTTTGGGAGGCCCAAGCAGGTGGATCATGAGGTCAGGAGTTCGAGACCAGCCTGACCAACATGGTGACATGCTGTCTCTACTAAAAATACAAAAAATTACCCTGGTGTGGTGGTGGGCGCCTGTAGTCCCAGCTACTCGGGAGGCTGAGGCAGGAGAATGGCTTGAACCCGGGAGGCAGAGGTTGCAGGGAGCTGGGATCTCGCCACTGCACTCCAGCCTGGGCGACAGCGAGACTCCGTCTCAAAAAAAAAAAAAAAAAAAAAAAAAAAAAAAAAAACAGAAGTAGAACTCATAGCCAGGCATGGTGGCTCACACTTGTAATCCCAGCAGTTTGGGAGGCCCAGGCAGGTGGATCATCTTGAGGTCAGGGCAATATGGTGAAGACCAGCCTGGGCAATATGGAGAAACCCCTTCTCTACTAAAAATACAAAAAATTAGCTAGGCATGGTGGCGGGCGCCTATAATCCCAGCTACTAGGGAGGCTGAGGCAAGAGAATCACTTGAACCCGGGAGGCGGAGGTTGCGGTGAGCCAAGGTCACCTGGGCAACAGAGAGAGACTTTGTCTCAAAATAAAATAAAATAGGCCGGGCACGGTGGCTCATGCCTATAATCCCAGCAATTTGGGAGGCCAAGGTGGGTGGGTCACAAGGTCAGGAGATCAAGACCATCCTGGCTAACACGGTGAAACCCTGTCTCTACTAAAAATACAAAAAATTAGCCGGGTGTGGCGGCGGGTGCATGTAGTCCCAGCTACTGGGGAGGCTGAGGCAGGAGAATGGTGTGAACCCGGGAGACGGAGCTTGCAGTGAGCCGAGATCGCGCCACTGCACTCCAGCCTGGGCAACAGAGCGAGACTCTGTCTCAAAAACAAACAAACAAAAAAACACAAAAAACAAACAAAAATAATTATTAATTTAATTTAATTTAATTAGATAAATGTGGAAGGGGAAGACCCAGGAAGGGTAAGTTTTGGGAGTAAGAAGGATATTATTATTAGTATTAGTATTAGTATTAGTATTAGTATTAGTATTAGTATTAGTATTTTGATGCTCTGTCACCCAGGATGGAGTGCAGTGTTGTGATCTCAGCTCACTGCAACCTCCATCTCCTGGGTTCAAGTGATTCTCGTGCCAAGAGTAGACGCAGGGTTTCACCATGTTGGCCAGGCTGGTCTCGAACTCTTGGCCTCAAGTGATCCGCGTGCCTCGGCCTCCCAACGTGCTGGGATTACAGGCGTGAGTCACCATGCCCGGCCAAAATTTTTTAAGTATTATTATTATTTTTTTTTTACTTTTTAAAAAATGTATAGAGATGAGGTCTCACTGTGTTGACCAGGCTGGTCTCAAACTCCTGGCCCCAAGCAGTCCTCCCATCTCAGCCTCCCAAAGTGCTGAGATTACAAGCATGAGCCACTGCATCTGGCCAGGTATAGATGACGCTTAAAGCTCTGGGGCTGAGGCCAGGTCAAAGCACCCCAGTGTTTAGACAAGTGCTTCTCAACTGGGGGCAACTGTGCTGCTGCTGCACCCCCAGGAGACACATGGCAATCCCTGGAGACATGTTGTTGTAACTGGAAGGTGCTAGTCGGATGTCGTGGGTGGGGGCCAGGGATGCTCCTAAACACCTTAAAATGCACAGGATCCATCGTTTTTGTTTATTTTACAGCTCAAGTGCAGTGGCGTGATCTCGGCTCACTGCAACCTCTCCCTCCCAGGTTCAAGCAATCCTCCTGTCTCAGCCCCCCTAGTAGCTGGGATTATAGGCACGTGCTACCATGACAGACTAATCTTTGTATTTTTAGCCTCCCAAAGTGCTGGGATTACAGGTGCCAGCCATTGCACCCAGCCTCCGCACTCTTGAAGAACCAGAAAGCCAATGGTCCTCCCTTCTCAAGAAAACAAGAGTTGGCCAGGTGCAATGGCTGACATCTGTAATTCCAGTATTTTGGGAGGCCAAGGTGAGAGGATCACTTAAGCTCAGGAGTTCGAGACCAGCCAGGTCAACATAGCAAGACTCCATCTTTACAAAGAAAAAAAAAGAGGCTGGGCGCGGTGGCTCAGACCTGTAATCCCAGCACTTTGGGAGGCCAAGGTGGGTGGATCACAAGGTCAGGAGATCGAGACCATCCTGGCCAACGTGGTGAAACCCCATCTCTACTAAAAATACAAAAATGGCTGGGTGCAGTGGCTCACGCCTGTAATCCCAGCACTTTGGTAGGCCACGGCGGGTGGATCACAAGGTCAAGAGATTGAGAGCATCCTGGCCAACATGGTGAAACCCCGTCTTTACCAGAAATACAAAAATTAGCCTGGCATGGTGGTGGGCACCTGTAGTCCCAGCTGCTCGGGAGGCTGAGGCAGGAGAATCACTTGAACCCGGGAGGCAGAGGTTGCAGTGAGCCGAGATTGCGCCACTGCACTCCAGCATGGGCGGCAGAGCGAGACTCCGTCTGAACAACAACAACAAAAAATACAGAAATTAGCTGAGTTTGGTGGCGCTTGCCTGTAATCCCAGCTACTTGGGAGGCTGAGGCATAAGAATCGCTTGAATCCAAGAGGCAGAGGCTGCAGTGAGCCTTGTCGTGTGGCAACAGAGCGAGACTCTGTCTCCAAAAAAATAAAAAGAGTGAGGAAAGATGGTGCTGGGCCTTGGAGGAAGAGGAACATATCTCCTGGGCCCAGAATAAGGAAGGACCACAGGCCAGGGACTTCTGGATCTTCATGAGCCAGGCAGGAGTTGTCAAATGTTAACAGGCATCAGAGTCACTGGAGGACTTGTTAACTTGGAAGACTTCTCCTGGGCCCCACCCCCAGGGCTTCTGGTGCAAAAGGGGTGGGGACAAGGATTTGTATGTCTCACAAGTTCTCAGGTGATGCTGATGCCAGACCTGGGACCCCAGGTTAAGAACCACCGGGCTGCCCGGGTGTGGTGTCTGACACCTGTGATCCCAGCACTTTGGGAGGCCAAGGCGGGCAGATCACGAGGTCAGGAGATCGAGACCATCCTGGCTAACACGGTGAAACCCCGTCTCTACTAAAAATAGAAAAGAAAATTAGCCGGGCGTGGTGGCGGGCGCCTGTAGTCCCAGCTACTCGGGAGGCTGAGGCAGGAGAATGGCGTGAACCTGGGAGGCGGAGCTTGCAGTGAGCCAAGATCGCGCCACTGCACTCTAGCCTGGGCGACAGAGCGAGACTCTGTCTCAAAAAAAAAAAAAAAAAACCACTGGGCTGAAGAATTAAGACTTGTTGGTCCTGGGAGAGGAAGGGCAGTGGAATATAAAATGTTAAATCTTTAAAGAAGAAGAGGGTCTTGATAGGACTGAGTGTGTATGGAAGGCTGCGAGCTCCTGGATCCCTGAAGGAGACAGAGGCCTGTAGCCTCCTCCGCCTTCCGGAGCTAGGGTCATGGGTCTGAGTGGGGAGGGCCTGGGGCCTGGTCTCCTGGATCTGAGGGAGGAGGGAGGTGGGGTCTGGTCTCCTGGATCTGAGGGAGGAGGGAAGTGGGGTCTGGACTCCTGGATCTGAGGGAGGAGGGAGGTGGGGTCTGGTCTCCTGGGTCTGAGGGAGGAGGGACTGGGGCCTGATCTCCTGGGTCTGAGGGAGGAAGGGGTGGGGTCTGGACTCCTGGGTCTGAGGGAGGAGGGGCTGGGCCTGCACTTCTCGGTCTGAGGGAGGAGGGGCTGGGGTCCTGGACTCCTGGATCTGGGGGCAGTGGGCACTGGGGACCTGGACTCGTAGGTCCTGACTCCCAGCCTCCTCCTCAGGAGCGCCTGGACCATGCTGCTGAGCGCCTACTGGCACGGCCTCCACCCGGGCTACTACCTGAGCTTCCTGACCATCCCGCTGTGCCTGGCTGCCGAGGGCCGGCTGGAGTCAGCCCTGCGGGGGCGGCTGAGCCCAGGGGGCCAGAAGGCCTGGGACTGGGTGCACTGGTTCCTGAAGATGCGCGCCTATGACTACATGTGCATGGGCTTCGTGCTGCTCTCCTTGGCCGACACCCTTCGGTACTGGGCCTCCATCTACTTCTGTATCCACTTCCTGGCCCTGGCAGCCCTGGGGCTGGGGCTGGCTTTAGGTGGGGGCAGCCCCAGCCGGCGGAAGGCAGCATCCCAGCCCACCAGCCTTGCCCCAGAGAAGCTCCGGGAGGAGTAAGCTGTCACGACGCTCCCTCTGCCAGCTGGTCCCGGGAATTCTGTGAACCAGGCTGCTGTCTCCTCCCCAGAAAGAGTCCTTACCTTGGAGAGGGTCCTGGAGAGAATTTCCTCTTCCCCAGCTAAATACCCTGCCTGCAACTGAAGCAGACCCGGGGGTGTCCTCCCTGCCCTCTGCCCAGAGGCCACCTCCACTCCTACAAAATCAAAGTATTGTCCAGACAAGAGTCACTGGCCCCTGCTCCAGCTTCTGGGTATCCAGAGAGCACTGCACTTCCCCAAAACGGAAGGGGCCCCTGGGCAGTGGGTTTTGGGCAAATTCCCTTTCTTTGCATCCACAATGTGGGGTCGGAGCTTGGGGGCAGGTCCTGGGAGTGGGAAGCCTCTTCCTTGTGTCTTTCGCTCCACTTTTAGCTCATCGCACCAATATTGCAGACTTGGAAGGAAGCATAAGCTTCCCATTTCACAAAGGGGAAACTGAGGTGCGGGTGCGCGGGCCTGGGGACGGCCGTCCCATGGCTTCCATCTGAGCCACCTCGGGACCCCAGCGCTCCTGGCGCCCTCTTCTCATCGCTTGGCCTATGACAGGTCACCGTGTGTAAATCTTTCCCAATAAAGTGTTGCACAAAGGCATCCTGTCCGTGCAGGTATCTGGGTGATAAACGGTGGGAAGGACTTAGTCCACCAAGTCCCAGGGTGAGGTACAGCCCCCCCGCCCAGCCCAGGAACCAAACTGTCAGGCCCGGGGCACCACGGGGACTTCAGCTCCCAGGAGACCTTTCGCATCAGCGGCCCTGAGAAACCACAGGAAGTGTACCTTACTCCCTCCGGGCCACCTGCTGGCCAGGTACACACCTGCCCCTGGCCCCTCCCTTACCTGGGGCAGTGTCTGCCTGGTGGCCACTAGAGACAGCCCAGCCTGGGCCATGGAAGAAAACCCGACCTTGGAATCAGAAGCCTGGGGCTCCTCTAGGGGGTGGCTGGCCCCCCGGGAGGCCAGAGGAGGTAGGGAATGCCAGGAGAAGCTCAGATCCATCCGACCTTCAGGCTAGGTGGGAGTCCTGCTGGAGGAGGAAAGGGGAGGCCTGGCCTCCTGAGTCTGAGGGCTAAAGAGAGAAGGTTCCACTTCCTGATATTATGGGGGAGAAGGGAACTGGAGGCTGGAACTCCAGGGTCTGAGGAGGAGGAGCCTGGAGAACCAGGCTAGTCTGGGAGGAGGGGAGGGCTAAGGGCTGGGAGTTTGGGTGTCTTGGGAATAGGAGAGGCTGGGTTCCCACACTCCTGAGCTAGAGGGAAAAGGAAGTTGAAGCCTGGACTCCACTGCCCTGGAGTAGGAGGGTTCCACGCTTGGGGATGGAGTTGAGGGCTGTGGACCCCTGGGTCCAGGGGAAGTAGAGGCTGGCACCCGGACTCCTGGGCCTGAGGGAGGAGGGGCTGGGAACCTGGTTTCCTGGTCTGAGGGAGGAGGGGCTGGGTGCCTGGATTCCTATGTCTGAGGGAGGAGGAGCCGGGGGCCTGGACTCCTGGGTCTGAGGGAGGAGGGGCCGGGGGCCTGTTCTCCTGGGTCTGAGGGAGGAGGAGCCGGGGGCCTGGACTCCTGGGTCTGAGGGAGGAGGGGCCGGGGGCCTGTTCTCCTGGGTCTGAGGGAGGAGGGGCCGGGGGCCTGTTCTCCTGGGTCTGAGGGAGGAGGAGCCGGGGGCCTGGACTCCTGGGTCTGAGGGAGGAGGAGCCGGGGGCCTGGACTCCTGGGTCTGAGGGAGGAGGAGCCGGGGGCCTGGACTCCTGGGTCTGAGGGAGGAGGGGCCGGGGACCTGGTTTCCTGGTCTGAGGGAGGAGGAATTAGGGCCCAGACTCCCGGGTCTTCCCAGCCCCCTGCTCCTCCCCAGGCCCATCGCTGTCTTCTGTGCTGAACGAGCTGCCCAGTGCTGCCACCCTTCGGTACCGAGACCCTGGGGTGCTGCCTTGGGGGGCGCTGGAGGAGGAGGAGGAGGATGGAGGAAGGAGCAGAAAGGCCTTCACAGAAGTCACCCAGACAGAGCTGCAGGACCCTCACCCTTCCCGGGAACTGCCCTGGCCCATGCAGGCCAGACGGGCACACAGGTGAGGCCCCACCTCCAGCTGGGACCCGCACAGCCCGGACCGGGCCCTTCTCCCATACCCTGGACTCGGTCTCCTCCCTCTGTCCTCTGCCGCTCCTGGCTTCTGGGGCCTCTCTCTGCCCCGCTCAGAGCTGCCTCTCTTGGTTTCTTTCTTCCCCTCATCTTTGTCTCTACTTCGGACTCCAGGTGAGTGCTGCCTTTCGATGGCTCTGGGGTCTCTTCTCTCTGGGATTTGCCGTCTCCCTGGTCTCCACCAATCCTGTCTCTGCCTCAGTTTCTCTCTGTGTGTGTGTCCAAAATCTGTTAATATTTATTTCTCTCTGCTTTATACCTTCCTTCATCTTTGCCTCCTCTTCCAAGCCTCCCTCTCTTTAACTTCTTTCTTTTCCCATTCTCACTGCATAATTTGCAGGGCCTGGTGAACAATGAAAATGCAGGTGCCCTCCTTCAAAAATGATTATGGGCCCATTGCAGTGGCTCACACCTGTAATCCCAGCACTTTGGGAGGCCCAGGCGAGTGGATCACCTGTGGTCAGGAGTTCAAGACCAGCCTGGCCAACATGGCAAAACCCCAACTCTACTAAAAATACAAACATTAGCTGGGTGTGGTGGCGGGTGCCTGTAATCCCAGCTACTCGGGAGGCTGAAGCAGGAGAATCGCTTGAACCAGGGAGATAGAGGTTGCAGTGAGCCAAGATCGTGCCATTGGACTCCGGCCTGGGTGATAGAGCGGGACTCCATCTCAAATATATATATACGCGTATATACGCGTATATATATACGCATATATGCGTATATATATGCATATGTGTGTATATATATACACATATATATGTATATATATGTGTATATATATGGAAAAAACAATAAAAAATAACAATGTATCAACACTCCCACGCCGATCAGTAGTGGGATCATGCCTGTGAATATAGCCACTATACTGCGGCCTGAGTAACATAGCGAGACCCCCATCTCTATTTTTTAAAAGTAATAATCAAAGTAACAATATGACAAAAAATAATACAAGTTAAAAGAACAGCTATCTATATAACATTTACCTTGTACCGGGTGTTATAAGTAATCTAGAGGTGATTTAAAGTGCATTGGAGGGCTGGGTGTCGTGGCCCATACCTGTAGCCCCAGCGCTTTGGGAGGCTGAGGCGGGAGAATTGCTTGAGCCTGGAAGTTTGAGGCTGCATTGAGCTATGATTGCACCACCGCACTCCAGCCTGGACAACAAAACGAGACATTTGTCTGTAAAAATCAGATAAAAATTAAAATAAAATAAAACAAACACAGGAGGATGTGTGTAGCCTGTATGCAAATACTATACCGTTTTATATAAGGAATTTGGGCATCTACAGATTTCAGTATTCTTGGGGAGTCCTTGAACCAACCCCCATGGATACTGAGGGATGGCTGTATTCATAAAGTGAGAGCCCAGATAAACTCCAGCTAGGGCAAGTGACACGGCATGACAGCACCCTGTGCGTCCCTCCCCTGACACCCCCTTTTTCCTCACAAATACAAGGTAACCTCTTCTCCCTAACCTTTTTTTTTTTTTTTTTGACAGAGTCTTGCTCTGATGCCCAGGCTGGAGTGCAGTGGTGCAGTCTCAGCTCACTGCAGCCTCCGACACCTGGGCTCAAGCGATCCTCCCACTCCAGCCTCCTGCTTTTCTGTAGAGCTTTGCAAGCTGTGCTCTGCAACGTTGTGCAAATAGAATCATACAGTCTTCAGTCTTTTGTGCTGGCTTCTTCTGCCTAGCATTAGGTTTCTTTCTTTTCTTTCTTTCTTTCCTTTCTTGGAATCTCACTCCGTCACCCAGGCTGGAATGCAATGGCGCCATCTCAGCTCACTGCAACCTCCACCTCCCAGGTTCAAGCAATTTTCCTGCCTCAGCCTCTCGTGTAGCTGGGATTACAGGCACCCGCCACCAGGCCCAGCTAATTTTTTTTTTTTTTTGGTATTTTTAGTAGAGACAGGATTTCACCATGTTGGTCAGGCTGGTCTCGAACTCCTGACCTCAGGTGATTCACCCACCTCGGCCTCCCAAAGTGCTGGGATTACAGGCCTGAGCCACTGTACCCAGCTGGTTTCTTTTTTATTGCTACAGAGTATTCTATCTTATGTATAGGCCACAATTTACTTCTCCATTCTACTGTTGGATTGTGTCTACATTCAGATGGTTCCCAGTCTGGGGCTGCGAAACCCCTCATTTTCTGCCTGTTTCCCTCCCAGGCAAAGAAATGCCAGCAGGGACCAGGTGGTCTATGGCTCTGGAACTAAGACGGACCGATGGGCGCGGCTACTTCGGAGGTCCAAGGAGAAAACAAAGGAAGGCTTGCGAAGCCTGCAGCCCTGGGCGTGGACACTGAAGAGGATCGGGGGTGCGGTGGGGTTTGGGTGGTGTCCTGGGGGCAGGGCCTGGACTCCTGGGTCTGAGGGAGGAGGGGCTGGGGACGGACTCCTGGGTTTGAGGGAGGAGGGGCTTGGGCCTGGATTTTTGGGTCTGAGGGAGGAGGGGCTGGGGGTCTGGACTCTTGGGTCTGAGAAAGGCACGGCTGGGCCTGGCGCGGTGGCTCACGCCTGTAATCCCAACAGTTTGGGAGGCCGAGGTGGGTGGATCACCTGAGGTCAAGAATTCGAGACCAGCCTGACCAACATGGTGAAACCCCCGTCTCTACCAAAAATACAAAAACTAGCTGAGCATGGTGGCGCACGCCTGTAATCCCAGCTACTCGTGAGGCTGAGACAGGAGAATTGCTTGAACCCAGGAGGCGGAGGTTGCAGTGAGCCGAGATCGCGCCACTGCACTCCATGCTGGGCGGCAGAGCGAAACTCCGTCTCAAAAAAAAAAAAAGAAAAGAAAAGAAAAGAAAAATATATATATATATATATAGAGAGAGAGAGAGAGAGAAAGAAAGGAAGGAAGGAAGGAAGGAAGGAAGGAAGGAAGGAAGGAAGGAAGGAAGGAAGGAAAGAAAAGAAAGAAAGGAAGAAAGAAAGAAAGAAAGAAAGAAAAGAAAGAAAGAAAGAAAGAAAGAAAGAAAGAAAGAAAGAAAGAAAGAAAGAAAGAAAGAAAGAAAAAGAAAGAAAGAAAAGAAAGAAAGAAAGAAAAGAAAGAAAAGAAAGAAAGAAAGGAAGGCGCGGCTGGACCCCAGTCCAGGGGTAGGAGGGGCTGGTCCTGCTCCCGGGAAGGAACCTGAGCCTCTCTCTGCTGCCCCCTGCAGGCCAGTTTGGCGCCGGCACGGAGTCCTACTTCTCCCTGCTGCGCTTCCTGCTCCTTCTTAACGTGCTGGCCTCTGTGCTCATGGCCTGCATGACGCTGCTGCCCACCTGGTTGGGAGGCGCTCCCCCAGGCCCTCCCGGCCCCGACATCTCCTCGCCCTGCGGCTCCTATAACCCCCACTCCCAGGGCCTGGTCACCTTTGCCACCCAGCTCTTCAACTTGCTCTCGGGTGAGGTAGGTGCCTGGGTCCCTGGGGGATTCCCCGCCCACCTGTGACCCCAGTGCCTTCAATGACACGAACCTCAAACCCTGACCCCAGACCCTGACTGTGCAGCTCCAGGAGCCCCGCCTCCTCCCACAGTGGCCCCTGCGCCGCCTTCCCCCCACAGGGTTACCTGGAATGGTCCCCTCTCTTCTATGGCTTCTACCCGCCCCGCCCACGCCTGGCGGTCACCTACCTGTGCTGGGCCTTTGCCGTTGGCCTCATCTGCCTCCTGCTCATCCTGCATCGGTCAGTGGCACCTGCACCCCTGACCCCTGACGGGACGGGTTGGGGTGGGGGAGCAAGTGGTGGTGGCAGAAACCCCCTCCCCAAGAATCCTCAGTCTTTTTTTTTTTGAGACGGAGTTTTGCTCTTATTGCCCAGGCTAGAGTGTAGTGGCGCAATCTCGGCTCACTGCAACCTCCGCCTTCCGGTTTCAAGCGATTCTCCTGCCTCAGCCTCCCAAGTTGCTGGGATTACAGGCGCCCGCCACCACGCCCAGCTAACTTTTTTGTATTTTTAGTAGAGATGGGGTTTCACCATGTTGGTCAGGCTGGTCTTGAACTGCTGACCTCGTGATCCACCCGCCTCGGCCTCCCACAGTGCTGGGATTACAGGCGTGAGCCACCGCGCCCGGCCCCAGAATCCTCGGTCTTGCTGTGTAACCCTTTATTCTGTGTGAGTTAAAATCAAGGTTTTGGGCCAGGAGCGGTGGCCCAGGAGGCGGAGCTTGCAGTGAGCCGAGTTTGCGCCACTGCACTCCAGCCTGGGCGACAGAGCGAAACTCCATCTAAAAAAAAAAAAAAGATCAAGGTTTTGGGATTTGTTTTTGTTTTTCATTTGTTTTGTTTGTTTGTTTTTGAGACAGAGTCTTACTCTGTCGCCCAGGCTGGAGTGCAATGGCACGATCTTGGCTCACTGCAACCTCCACCTCCCGGGTTCAAGCGATTCTACTGCCTCACCCTCCCAAGTAGCTGGGTTTACAGGCTCCGGCCACCACGCCCAGCTAATTTTTTGTATTTTTAGTAGAGACGGGGTATCGCCATGTTGGCCAGGCTGGTCTCGAACTCCTGATCTCAGGTGATCCACCTGCCTCGGCCTCCCAAAGTGCTGGGATTACAGGTGTGAGCCACCGCACCCAGTCTGTTTTGTTTTTTGAGACAGGGTCTCACTCTGTCACCCGGCTAGCGTGCGGTGGTGCAATCATAGCTCACCGGAAGCCTGGGCCTCCGGAACTCAACTGATCCGCCTACCTCAGCCTCGGGAGCAGCTGGGACCACAGGGGTGCACCACCATGTCTTGCTAAAATTTTTTTTTTAATGTTATAGAGACAGGGTCTTGCTATGTTGCCCAGGCTGCGCTCAAACTCCTAGGCTCAAGAGATCTGCTCACCTCAGCCTCCCAAGGTGCTGGAATTACAGGCATGAGCCAATGTGCCTGGCCAAAAGTCAACTTTTTTTTTTTTTGAGACGGAGTCTCGCTCTGTCACCCAGGCTAGAGTGCAGTGGTGCGATCTCAGCTCACTGCAACCTCCGCCGCCCGGGTTCAAGCAATTTTCCTGCCTCAACCTCCCAAGTAGCTGGGATTACAGGCATGTGCCACCATGCCCGGCTAATTTTGTATTTTTAGTAGAAATGGGGTTTCACCATGTTTGTCAGGCTGGTCTCGAACTCCTGACCTCAGGTGATGCACCCGCCTCGGTCTCCCAAAGTGCTGGGATTACAGGCGTGAGCCACCACGCCCGGCAAAGAGCCTCGATTTTAAGAGAAGGGAAAAGCCCTGGAATAGGTCTTAAACAGGGGAATACGGTCTGAGTTGCATCAAAAGAAGGTCCCACTGGCTCAAGAACTGAGAATGGATTATATGCGGGCACAAGTGGAAGCAAGGAGACCATGTGAGGGCCCTCTGTGGTTGTTCACATGAGAGATGATGGGGGCCGGGGCCAGGGCAGTGAAGGTGCACATGGTCTCTTTGTCCAGTTCTGTTTCTGCCCCTGCTGGGGTTCTCTATCTCCTTCCTGGGTCTTTGCCCCCCTCTCTTGAGTCTCTTTACCTGCCCGTCTTCTCTGGGTCTTTTTTTTTTTTTTTTGGAGGCGACCTCCACCTCCTGGGTTCAAGTGATCCTCCCACCTCAGCCTCCCAAGTAGTTGGGATTACAGGCATGCACCACCACGCCTGGCTAATTTTTGTATTTTTAGTAGAGACGGGGTTTCACCACATTGGCCAGGCTGGTCTCAAACTCCTGACCTCAGGTGATCCTCCCCCCTCGGCCTCCCAAAGTGCTGGGATTACAGGCGTGAGCCATGGCGCCTGGCCTGCCCCCTCTCTTGAGTCTTTACCTGCCATCTTCTCTGGGTCTCTGTCTTCTTCTCGGCTCTTCCCGCCGCAGCTCCCTTCTCTGTGTGCCTGTACTTCTTATGGGTCTTTGACCCCCATCTTTTGTAGATGTAGTTTCCCCTTTCTCACTGTCTTTTTCTCCCTTTCTCCGAATCTCCCTCTGGGGCCTCTGTCCCTCCTCCACATCTCTGTCTTCCTCAGGGCCTCTGTTTCTCTCACTCTGGGTTTCTGCCCCCTTCGCTCCGAGGCTCTGTCCCTGTCTCCTAGGTTTCTGCCTCTCTTTGGGGTGCCTGCACCCCAGAACTGTCTCTGAATCTCCCTTGGACTTTGCCTTCAATGACTGTGTCTCCGCCTCTTTGACTCTTTCCCCATCTGGTCTGGTGGGAACTCGCCTAGTACCCAAGGCCTTAGGGTTCATCTTCCCCATTTGTCCCAATATGAGGGGTCTCCCCATAACCCCCGTTCCTGGCTGTCCTTTCACTTCCCGTCTCCCGGGTCTCCCCTCTCAGCTCGGTGTCTGGGCTGAAGCAGACACTGCTGGCGGAGTCCGAGGCTCTGACCAGCTACAGCCACCGGGTGTTCTCGGCCTGGGACTTCGGTCTCTGCGGGGACGTCCACGTGCGGCTGCGCCAGCGCATCATCTTGTACGAATTAAAGGTGCGATTAGGGAGCGGGGTCTGCAACTGGGTAGGGACCAGACAGGACCGGGCTGAGATAACGCACAGGGCCTAACTCGGTGATGGGGCCTCCGGAGAGATGCTAAGCAGCTCCTTCTCCAAGAAAGGCAGGTCCTGGGGAATGAGAAGGTTGAGAGGAGGCCGAGATAGGGCTGCCCGAGCTCCAAGCGTGTAGGAAAAGGATGCGCCAGGGCTGGGATCGGTGGCTAATGCTTGTAACCCCAGCACTTTGGGAGACCGAGACAGGTGGATCGCTTCAGTCTAGGAGTTCGAGACCAGCCTGGGCAACATAGGGAGGCTCCCTCTCTACCAAAAAAAAAAAAAAAAAGTTTGTTTTTTTTTAAGTAAGCACAAGAAGCGGGCGGGGCCTAAGGCAATTTGGTTCAAAGTTAAGTGATGGGAGCGGCCAGCAGGGCGTCTTGATACAGCTGAACTGGAACTTCAGGCCAGGAATAAAGCGCAGGGCCACCTGGGGGCGGAGCCTCTGATGGGCAGGGCTGACCAGGGGCGGGTCTTGGGATGCTGGGCGGAGCCTCAGGGGCGGGGCCTGGGGTGCTGAGATTGACCGCGGAGGGATGGGGGCTTGGGTTGCTGGATCCGGCCGCGAAGGGGCGGGGCTGTAAAGGGCCGCTGGTTTCCTGGAGCGGGTGGAACCAGGACTGCAGAGGTTGTTAGCGGGTGGGGAGACGGCTGCATCAGTTCACGTTAAGGAGGATCTCTGGAGAGCCAGACCTGGGGAACCGGGAGGCCCGCGCCTTGGGAAATGGAGTCCAAGCGGGCATCTCTCCTGCCTTCAGGTGGAGCTGGAGGAGACAGTGGTGCGGCGCCAGGCTGCGGTGCGGACGCTGGGCCAGCAAGCCAGGGTTTGGTTGGTGCGGGTGCTGCTCAACCTGCTGGTGGTCGCGCTCCTGGGGGCAGCCTTCTATGGCGTCTACTGGGCTACGGGGTGCACCGTGGAGCTGCAGGTGCGGACGGTCTTGGAAGAGGAAGCCAGGGGGTCCTGGAACCTACATTTCCAACGGTGGAGGGAGGGGACGGAAGTTTGGGATGCCAGAGATCTTAGAGAGGAAGTATGGGAGAGGGTATGTTCGGACCCTGGACTTAGGGATTTTAAAGGAAAAAGAGAGGCTGGGCGCGGTGGCTTACACCTGTAATCCCAGCACTTTGGGAGGCTGAGGCGGGCGGATCACGATGTCAGGAGTTCCAGACCAGCCTGACCAACATGGTGAAAAACAGTCTCTACTAAAAATACAAAAATTAGACGGGCGTGGTGGTGGGCGCCTGTAATCCCAGCTACTCAGGAGGCTGAGGCAGGAGAATCACTTGAACCCGGGAGGCAGAGGTTGCAGCGAGCCGAGATCGCACCGCTGCATTCTAGGCTGGGCAACAGAGCGAGACTCTGTCTCAAAAAAAAAAAAAAAAAGAAGAAGAAGAAGAAGAGGCCGGGGGGAGGACCTTAAGCTTGGCTCCTCCAGGACCCCAAGCCTCTACTCATGGTCCATCCCGCTCCCAGGAGATGCCCCTTGTCCAGGAGTTGCCACTGCTGAAGCTTGGGGTGAATTACCTTCCGTCCATCTTCATCGCTGGGGTCAATTTTGTGCTGCCGCCCGTGTTCAAGCTCATTGCTCCACTGGAGGGCTACACTCGGAGTCGCCAGATCGTTTTTATCCTGCTCAGGTTCCAGCCTCACGGGGATGGCTGGGAATGATGAAGGGTGGGGGCGGTCAGAGGGATGTTGGCGCTGACAGGTAAGACACGGAAATCCTGCTGATACCGAATCCAGGGATTCAAATCCTGACTCTGTTGGCCAGGTGCAGTGGCTCACACCTGTAATCCCAGCACTTTGGGAGGCCGAGGCTGAGGTCAGGAGTTCGAGACCAGCCTGACAAACATGATGAAACCCCGTCTGTAGTAAAAATACGAATATTAGCCCGGCGGTAGTGGCTTCTGTAGTCCCAGCTACTCGGGAGGCTGAGGCAGGAGAATGGCTCGAGCCTGGGAGGTGGAGGTTGCAGTGAGCTGAGATCGCGCCACTGCACTCCAGTCCGGGTGACAGAGTGAGACCCTGTCTCAAAAAAAAAAAAAAAAAAAGAAAGAAAGAAAGAAAGAAATCCTGATTCTGTCACTGGGCCTCAGCTTCATCTGTGAGATGGGTTGAATGCGGGCGCGTTCCACTGAGAAGGGAACTGCCACATGGTGGGTACCGGGTCAGGGCCCATTCTCTGCCTTCCCCCCTTCAGGACCGTGTTTCTTCGCCTCGCCTCCCTGGTGGTCCTGCTCTTCTCTCTCTGGAATCAGATCACTTGTGGGGGCGACTCCGAGGCTGAGGACTGCAAAACCTGTGGCTACAATTACAAACAACTTCCGGTGAGAACGGCATGGGTGTGCGTGGGACTCTTGGGTCCCTGAAGGAAAGATGGAGCTGGGTGGGTCCAGACTCTTGGTTTGGGCGGAGAGGGGAGCTTGGGGTGCTGGAACACTCTCCCAAGGGTATGAAAGTTTGAAAAACGAGGACCCCCAGAGAAAGTATTGACAGGGTCTCATAGGCTTGCGATGTGGAGACTCGGACGCGTGGGCCTCCAGGTGCCCGGGTCCCGAGTTCTTTCTGATATATTTCTTCCTTCTTCAGTGCTGGGAGACTGTCCTGGGCCAGGAAATGTACAAACTTCTGCTCTTTGATCTGCTGACTGTCTTGGCAGTCGCGCTGCTCATCCAGTTTCCTAGAAAGTGAGAGCCCCGCCCCTTGCTGTGGCCCCGCCCCTCTAGGACGAGGCCGTGCCCCATCGCGCTGTTCTTTTCACCGCGCACCTTTTTACCATTCCCGCCTCTGCCTGCTCCCTTTGCTTGCCCTAGGTCCGCAGATCTCCCCGCTCCCCGCCCTTGTTTTAGTGGGTTACTTCCCTCTGGCCCCGACGGCGGCGACATCTGGGTCCCTTCTAGTCCTCAGGACCCGCCCTCTGGACACACCCCCTCCACGTGGAGTCCTGAAAGTCCCGCCCCCCCCCCCCCAACCAATACGCATGCTTCCTATTGGCGGGCGGGGCGGTGGAGGCGGGGAAACTCCAGGCCGCCACTCCCCTGACTCCGGCCCGGCCCCGCCCCGTCCTTCAGGCTCCTCTGTGGCCTCTGTCCTGGGGCGCTGGGTCGTCTGGCGGGGACCCAGGAGTTCCAGGTGCCCGACGAGGTGCTGGGGCTCATCTACGCGCAGACGGTGGTCTGGGTGGGGAGTTTTTTCTGCCCTTTACTGCCCCTGCTTAACACGGTCAAGTTCCTGCTGCTTTTCTACCTGAAGAAGGTAAGGGGTAGGGGGGACCCTTGGGTCTGAGGCAGGAGGTATTGGGGCCCGCACTCCTGGGTCAAGGGCAAGGAAGATCCTGGGGGCCTGGATTACTCGGTCCTGAGAGAGGAGGGGGTTGGAGGACAGACTACTGCATCTGAGAGGAGGGGTCTAGGGCATTCTGACTTATATGTCTGAGGATCTGGGGACTCAGACTCCGGGGTCCTAGATGAGGAAGGGGCTCAGACTCCTGGTTCGGAAAAAAGGAGAGGCAGGTAGGCCGGGTGCAGTGGCTCACGCCTGTAATCCCAGCACTTCGGGAGACTAAGGCGGGTGGATCACCTGAGGTCAGGAGTTTGAGACCAGCCTGGCTAACATGGCAAAACCCCGTCTCTACTAAAAATACAAAAAAAATTAGCCGGGCTTAGTGGCAGGCGCCTGTAATCCCAGCTACTCAGGAGGCTGAGGCAGGGGAATTGCTTGAACCAGGGAGGTGAAGGTCGAAGTGAGCCAAGATCGTGCCACTGCACTCCAGCCTGGGCGACAGAGCGAGACTCCGTCTCAAAAAGAGAAAACAAACAAACAACAACAACAGCAAAACAAATTAGCCGGGAGTGGTGGTGCACACCTGTAATCCCAGCTACTCGGGAGGCTGAGACACGAGAATAGCTTGAACCCGGGAGGGGAGGCTGCAGTGAGAGCCACTGCACTCCAGCCTGGGCGACAGAGCGAGACTCTGTCTCAAAAAAAAAAGCCTGGGCGACAGAGCGAGACTCTGTCTCAAAAAAAAAAAAAAAAAAAATGGAGGCACAGACTCTTGTGTTTCAGAGCCCTTTTCTCCGTGCCTTCCCCCACCAGCTTACCCTCTTCTCCACCTGCTCCCCGGCTGCCCGCACCTTCCGGGCCTCCGCGGCGAATTTCTTTTTCCCCTTGGTCCTTCTCCTGGGTCTGGCCATCTCCAGCGTTCCCCTGCTTTACAGCATCTTCCTGTAAGTGCGAGAGGCTCCCGCCTCTCTCCCTCCCTCTCTCCCCATTCAGTGTTCAGACTCCTGGCACTATGTGAGCCCAGCCTGTCTTGACTTCAGGATCCCGCCTTCTAAGCTTTGTGGTCCATTCCGGGGGCAGTCGTCCATCTGGGCCCAGATCCCTGAGTCTATTTCCAGCCTCCCTGAGACCACCCAGAATTTCCTCTTCTTCCTGGGGACCCAGGCTTTTGCTGTGCCCCTTCTGCTGATCTCCAGGTGAGACGGCCCAGACTTCTGGGTCTGGGTTTGAATGCGTGTGATCTGGGGGCCACCACCTGCGTCCAAGAGAGGAGAGGCTTGGGCGTGGGAGCAGGCAACGTACTGAGTCTGAGGGAGGAGGCCTAGGCTCCTGGACTGCTGGGTCCGAAGGAGGAGGTGGGCGGGACGTAGGACTCCTGGATCTGAAGGCGGAGGGGCTGGGAGACTGAACTCCTTGAGCCCAGACGAGGAGGGGCTTAGGCGTCCACATCCCTGGCTTCGAAGGAGCCAGACGTTTGGATATAATGGAAGAGCGTGTCAGGAGTGGCTTCCGTTCCTGTCTCCTTCAGCATCCTGATGGCGTACACTGTGGCTCTGGCTAACTCCTACGGACGCCTCATCTCTGAGCTCAAACGTCAGAGACAGACGGTGAGCCAGGCGGGTCCCTGAGAGGGCCCCTGGGGAACATGGAAAGGGGTTGGGGAAGAGGATTGTCTCACCTCCACCTCTCTTTGCCCCAGGAGGCGCAGAATAAAGTCTTCCTGGCACGGCGCGCTGTGGCGCTGACCTCCACCAAACCGGCTCTTTGACCCCCGCAGCCCACGTCCCGCTTTCAGACCCCAGGCCCATTGTAAGCCTAGGTCACAACATCTGTAAACTAGGAGAACTGGAGAAGACTCCACGCCCTTCCAGCTTTGGTATCTGGAGATTTCCAGGGCCCCTCGCCGCCACGTCCCTGACTCTCGGGTGATCTTCCTTGTATCAATAAATACAGCCGAGGTTGCTGAGCGCGCTTTGAAATCTGCGTCCTGAAGGTGGGGGCAGGGCTACAGCGGGGCAGGAGCCAATCAAATGTACGGGCATGTTTGTCGGTGCAGAGCGCTCTTCCGCAAGGAGACTTGTCGGTCATGTCGGCCAATCGACGGCCGCATCTGGTAGCATCAGGGGCGGGCCAACTTATGATTGGTTCAGATCTGTGACAAGAGGCGGTTGCTAGGGGATACCACGAGCCGAACGCCTAGCATTCGCTGTGATAAAGGGCGTCTCAGCCAATCACCTGTCGCTACAGGCCAGGGGGCCGTACCAACTAATTCGGAACCAATCCGCGGTCGAAGTAGGGACAAGAAAAAGGGGGGCATCCTCTCGCCAATCGGAAGTGCAAAGAGGCGGGCGTGCCAGTCCCTGGACAGCTACGACGCCATGAATATCTTGCCCAAGAAGAGCTGGCACGTCCGGAACAAGGACAATGTCGCCCGCGTGCGGCGTGACGAGGCCCAGGCCCGGGAGGAGGAGAAGGAGCGTGAGCGGAGGGTGCTGCTGGCTCAGCAAGAGGTAAGCTCGGAAGCCGGCAGGGCGGCGCTCCGGGGCCCAGCGCGCAGGCGCCGCGGTTGGGGGCCGGAAGCGGAGGCGTTGCGCAGGCTCAATGTGCCCCGTGTGAAATTCGGGACCAGGCGCCGATCCCACTTTCGAGGACGTTGCCCCGCAAACCTTGTGCCCACTTCCACGAAACCTTCCTTGATCTCGCCCTCGTCTTAGTTTTTCCCCCACTGATGTATTTCACATGGCTGGAACAGTGTCTAGCACAAAAGAGAAGCTTAACATTTAATGAATCCGTGAACCCTTGGACAGTTCAAGGAAATTCGGATCACTTTTTAGTTTGCCTGCACAGCCTATTTATTGAGCATCTACTGTATGCTAACTACATGCCGTGCACCTGACTTGCGGAATCCCCAATAAGCACTGTTCGTTCTTAGAGGGGCACTGTCATCTCTGTTGCACGAAGTGAGATGGCTTCAGTGAGGGGAAGGCACATTTTAAGGAGAGGCGGACAGCCAGGCTCCACGCCATCGGGCGAGCCCTTTCGTGCACCGCCCCCTAGACACATACACACAAACACGGGCTTTCCGTATGGCTCTTTAAATCTGTTTGGTGTACACCCAACTTTCATTTCCTTAGCTAGTCTGATCCTCCGCCGTGGGTGGGAGGTAGTCTAGGTTTTTAGAATCTCAGTAGGCTGCTGAGCGCTGTTTGAAATCCGCGTCCTGAAGGCAGGGGACAGGGCTTCAGCAGACTTGGGGTAGTCACTTGGAGCCATGGCTAGAATTCAGATCGTCTGGCCTAATGCATACCTTTATGGCTGTTTTAATTGTCTCACTTGAGGTTAGGAACCCCTTTGGTTTAGGCCAGGGACCTCCTCCCATACATCCTTGATGACCCGTGGTTTACTATTTGAAAGGGAGTTTACAAAACCCAGGCGTTGCCTCATCTGCCTACCCTCACCCCCAGCTAGGACAGGTGCCTCTTTTAGGCGCCTAGTGCTCCCTTTCTCATAACCCCAGCACCCTGGACTGCCATTTTCTGTGGTGGGCACCAGACTCACAGTTCTTGAATTACCTCTAGGTTCTGAATGTCCTGCCTATAACTTTCTCCCCAGGCCCGTACAGAATTCCTACGGAAGAAAGCCAGACATCAGAACTCACTGCCTGAGCTTGAAGCAGCAGAGGCGGGAGCCCCAGGTTCTGGCCCTGTGGACCTGTTTCGGGAGCTGCTGGAGGAAGGGAAAGGAGTGATCAGAGGCAATAAAGAGTACGAGGAAGAAAAGCGACAGGAGAAAGTAAGCTGGCCTCACCCACTTCATCAGAGGGGCCATGAATCGAGTTGGAGGGAGGGGGCACTTTAGCCATTGGTTGTGACCAAGGTCAAACAAGAGTGAACACACAGAATTTAGGACCATACCAAGGCATGACACTCAAAAAGCGTTGGCTATTGCCGTCTGGGCGCCCACAGGGGTTGGAGGTAGATGCTAGAGGTCCCCAGCTGCTGGGCAAACCGCTCAGTTCTCCAAACTGGAGGAGTCTCAAACCTGATGGGCTTTTAAAAATTTAAATCAGCCGGCTGTGGCTCACGCCTGTAATCCCACCACCTTGGGAGGCTGAGGCGGGTGGATCACCTGAGGTCAGGAGTTCAAGACCAGCCTGGTCAACATGGTATCTCTAAAAATACAAAAAAAATTAGCCGGGCATGGTGGTGCGCGCCTGTAATCCCAGGGAAGCTGAAGCAGGAGAATCGCTTGACCCAGGAGGTGGAAGCTGCAGTAAGCCGAGATTGCGCCACTGCACTCCAGCCTGGGTGACAGAGCGAGACCCCATCTCAAAACAATCAAACAAAAAGTGAATCAATCGCCTCTTGCTTTTTGGCTAAGATCAAGTGTAAAAGGTACATCAGTGGCTGTGCATGGTGGCTCACGCCTGTAATCCCAGCACTTTGGGAGGCCAACGTGGGTGGATCACCTGAGGTCAGAAGTTCAAGACCAGCCTGGCCAAACATGGCAAAACCCCGTCTCTACTAAAAATACAAAAATTAGCTGGGCATGGTGGTGTGTGCCTGTAATCCCAGCTACTCGGGGGGCTGAGGTAGGAGGATTGCTTGAACCTGGGAAGCAGAGGTTGCAGTGAGCCGAGATCGTGCCACTGCACTCGAGTCTGGGCAACAGAGCGAGACTCCATCTCAAAAAAAAGAGGTACATCAGCTCTTGTCATTTATCTGCTGTCTCTGGACTTGCTGACCCCACCCATCGCTCCTCTGCTTTGCTTGATCCCTTCAGGCTTCTCTTCAAGTCTCTCTGCAAAGATGCCTGCCTCTGAACACTCAAGTGGCTCCACTTGTCCCCTCCTTCCCCTGCTGTTACTGTACCTGCTACTGTCCCCCCAGGGGGAGCTTTGCCTCTGTTTGTCTTCCATCCCCAGCACCTGGTCCAACTGGTTCATAACAAGCCTTAGATACCTGTTCGCTTAGATACCTGTGTCAGGGAGACACACCTGACACCTTGAAAGATTATATCACATCTCTTGTATTTCCTGGCCCCCTCAGGAGAGGCAAGAGAAAGCTCTGGGCATCCTGACATACCTGGGCCAGAGTGCAGCGGAGGCACAGACTCAACCCCCTTGGTACCAGCTACCCCCAGGGCGAGGGGGCCCCCCGCCCGGCCCAGCCCCAGATGAGAAGATCAAGAGCCGTCTGGACCCTCTGCGGGAGATGCAGAAGCATCTGGGGAAGAAGAGACAGCACGGCGGTGATGAAGGCAGTCGCAGCAGAAAGGAAAAGGAGGGGTCTGAGAAGCAGCGACCCAAGGAGTAAGAAGACCCCACCTCGGCAGACCAGGGCCCAGACCTTCAGGGCTTGGCAGCAGCCCAGCATGGGCACTGCAGCGTCTCTGGTCAGGACAGCCAGGGACTCCGTGAAGGGCTGGCTAGGTGGAGAAGTGGTTCTCAGCATGTGGTCCAGGGAGCCCTAGGGGTCCTGACACCCTTTCCCGGGGTGCTGTGGTGTCAAGCCTATTTTCCTGACACTGGTGGACTTTTCCACTCGTGTTCTCAGGCATGTAGTGCAGGTTTCCAGAGGCTGTGTGATGGGGAGACACCCTCACTCTGATGGCCAATGGCAGATGCTTGTGTCCAAACTTTCTTAGTTTTCACTAATGATTTGCAGCATATTAAGAGAACCCATTTAAACAAAAGCTCTTGGGGTCCTTGGTTTTTAAGAGTATAAAGGGGTCCTGAGACCAAAGAGTTTGAGAGCTGCTGGGTTAGAGAGTAAAAGCAGGCTTCTGTCTCCAGGATGCTGCACCCCTGGTCTAGAGGGGGTACACTGCCTGTAGTCTTCTTTCCTCTAGAAAGGGAAACTGAGGGCCAGGGGGCTGCTAAGTGTGCTTTCTTGACCTGGAGAAGCATCAGATTTTAAAGACTGGGGAGGACCAAAGCCCACAGAAGGGAAGGCCAGAGACGTGCCCATGGCGTCCCAGCACCAAGTGGCTGCTTCCAGCAGGCCTAAGGAGCTGAGGCTGGGGTGTGCTGGATGCAGCGGGGCTTCCAGGCGGCAGCTCCCTCTATGGGAGAGGTTGGGGGAATGGCCTCCTAGGGGCTACCAGCTTTCTGACCTCACTCCTCTCCCCACAGGCCTCCATCCCTGGACCAGCTTCGAGCTGAACGTCTGCGGAGGGAAGCAGCTGAGAGGTCTCGGGCAGAGGCCCTGCTGGCCCGGGTCCAAGGCCGGGCACTACAGGAGGGTCAGCCGGAAGAAGACGAGACGGATGACCGGCGGCGGCGGTACAACTCCCAATTCAACCCCCAGCTGGCCCGGCGCCCCCGCCAGCAGGACCCTCACCTTACTCACTGACTCCTGAGGGGGTACAGGAGAGGCCGCTGCTGCCAGCCGTCATATAAAACTATTTATTCATAAATATTTTCCAAAATGAAAATAGGTTTACCAAAAAATGTCCCTCACTGGGGAGGGGAGGAGGGGGCAGCCCTCGCCCCCGGGCCCCCAGGGTGGGGCTGAGAGGAAAACCTCCCGGCCCCCTCCCTGCTTCCTGGGAGAGGGGGATGCCCCGTGGCTTGGGGCCTCCCTCCAGTCTTCCAGGGCAGGGCCCTCACCTGGGCAGGGGGATCAGCATGCGGGGGAAGGGGGTGGGTAGAGGGAGGGGCCGGTGTCACTGGAGGTCCCGGTCCTCCAGGTAGCGGTACTCAAAGGTGAAGCCTTCCTTCTTCCGCTGGCCCCACTTCTCGTAGTCAAAGTAGATGTAGGTGCCCTGGCCGGGGGAGAAGGCGGTCAGTGAGTGGACGAGGAGGTGGTCTGGGATCTGGGCCGGACCAACAGACAAAGGGGACAATTCTTAGGGCTGTGGATGTGTCAGGCACCGGGCCAGCTGCCCTGCACGCACACACTCTCATCCATCCTCACAAGGTTCTTCTTGGGTAGGAAATGTTATCATGCCACTTCAGCGAGGAGGAAACGGAGGGGGCCGCAGAGGTTCCACCGAAGCCAGCTGCCAGAACGGGGCCCCAGCCCCAGGTGTGAGTGCACAGCCTTCGTTTCCTCGAGGGCTGTGGCTTTTGAGCACCTCTCACGTGAGTACAGGATGCACAGCCTAGCATTTAATCTTCACAAAGACCTCGAGGCAGTGGGTACTGTCACCCTTGTTCTAGAGAATGGAACAGTCTCAGAGTCTAAATCCAAGCACTCTGCAGGGACATTTTATTGGTGACGGAAGTGGTGTGGGAATTTCTGAATGACTGGATGCCCTGAAATGTACTAACTTGGAGGATGGTTTTGGGCCAAACCAGGAAAGGACAGGAAGTCTGTGGTTAACATCTGAGGACACAATGGGAGAGGACCTAGGTTCTAAATGAATGTCTTAAGTGCTTCAAAGATGGCAACCTGGGAGAACCAGGAGAGGGGACTGAGTTCTCTGAGGACAAGGACCTTGTACTACTTCATCCCCATGAAGGGGCTCGGCATCAGGGAAGTATTTGGTGGAAAAAAACATCACTGTAGAACACACCAACTGAAAGTAATTTGAAAAAAAAAATCCATGACACTGACTATGTAGCAGTCACCATTAAGTACTTACATGTTATTAACTCATTTAATCTTCATAACAACTGCATTAGGTAGGTGGTCTTCCCCCCATTTTTACAGATAAGTTAATTGAGACACAGAGGTTCGAGTGACTTGCCTAGAGTCGCCCAGCTGGACTGGGCTGAAACCCAGGTAGGTTGGTTCCAGAGTGTTTGCAAGCAGCAGGAATTTCCCAGTATTAGAACTTGAGAAGCCCATTCAAAAAAAATAGTTTCGGCACTGAGCCCCTGCCCTGCTGAGTGCTGGGACCTGGAGGTGAAGTGGGGGCCATCAAGGTCCCTCGGCAGCAGAGCCCACAGCCTGGTGCAGGGACACATACTGGGAAAATCCCACACCCCAAGCGAGTGTGCCCAGCACTGCAAAGGGGAGGCACTGGGCTGGGTGGCTCCAGGAAGGTTTCTTTGAGGAAGGGACATTTGGGCTGAGACCTACAGGAGGCCTAGGAGCTGGCCAAGTGGAGGATGAGAGGGCGGTGTTCCAGGCTGAGCAGACAGCCAGAGGGAGGAGTACTTGGTCAGGCTGAGGGACTGCGCCAGCTGAAAGGTGGAGGCAAGGGAGCAGAGGCCAGCAGGGGCTGCCTGGAGCCTGGGGACTCTACCCCAACCCTAGCAGCGGGAAGAGAGGGGGCGGGGCCCTCACCTGCTCAAACTCGTCAGTGATGGTCTTGGGCTCCTCGTGCCTCTGGAACCACATCATGTACTTGGTGTGGAATCGCCATGACTGCTTCTTTAGGGCCTTGGCTGCCAGATACTGTGCCTTAGTGCCCTGGGGGAGGAACAGTGGAGAGGGGGATCAGGGGGCCCCCAAACTGGGTGGGGAGCCAGGGGAATGGGGCAGGACATCAGGGCTGAACCCCGGCCCCCGCCACAGACCACAGTTGGGCTGGACAATCCTCTTGGAGATGGGGCTGGGGGCACAGAACATACCAATGCTGATCAGGAGAAGGAAAATGAGACAGGAGGTGAAAATTGCTTTCAGAGAAGCTTTGAGAAGGAAGAAAAACTAATGTGTGATGAGAGCTGAGAGAGGAGGCAATTTAGAAAATTTCCCAAGTGGGGATGAGGGTGGAGGTCACTCATGACTCACTGGGGTTGGGAGGGGGCTGGACAGCTCCCCAGTGGTCTCCAGGGAGGCCTGAGAATGTGCCGATGAGCAGAGTGGGGTCGGCCTAGACTGGGGCTGCTGGAGCAGGGCTGGGGAGGGGCCGCGGGTGAGCCAGTGGGCAACTGGAAGCGGGGCTGAGGTGTGCCTCAGTGGACCAGCCTCGCTGTCAACCCAAGCAGTTCTAACATCTCTGGGCTGGAAGGCGGGGACGGGGACAGGTGGATTTGGGGCAGGGGCCCAGGAGTGGGAATAGGGAGGGGGTGCGGTCCCAGTGGCCGCAGTGGGGCACCCACCTCACCCCTCCAGCCCGAGGGGGGACGGCGGCGGTGGCGGCGAAGCCGGGGGGCCCGAGGCTGCCCCGGGGGCCCTGCTGTACCTCCAGATAGTAGAAGATGAAGAAGAGTGTCTCGGTCGACAGGCGCTGGTAGAATTCCACAGTGTCCGAGTGTGGGGGTGGCATCTGGTGGTGGTAGGGGGGCGTCGGACAGGGGTTCCGGGGGAGGTACTGCCTGTGAGAGCAACAGGAAGGTCAGTGCCAGCTGCCTACTAGTCCTGTCGTGATCAAAAGGGTGCTCAGACATGCATCCCTGCGGGGGGAGGTGGTACAGAAAGACCCAGGGCGGTGCTGACCTTCAGTGGAGAGCCCAAGTCAGGGGCCTGGTGCTCTACCCACAGCCTCACAGGTTCAGCCACTGCCTCCTCCGTAAGACTCAAGTCCCAGACCATCCCCCTTCCCTGTGGCCCCTCACCGAATACGCTCAGAGTCAGAGGGGTGAGGCATGTGGTGCCAGGCGGCCTCTTCCATGGCCTGCTGATAGAGCTGCTCCTTGGTGAGGGGCACAGGGCCCAGTGGACAGACACCCAGCGACAGCGGTATGTTCACCTCTGACAGCTGCAGGGGCGGCTGGGCTGAGGCCGGAGGTGCTGATGTACTGCTCAGGATGATGTCTGTGGGGAGGGTGGGGGTCCGGCCCCCTCAGTGGTGAGGATGGGTCAGGGGCAGCCCCTCCTCTTTGGCCCGCTGCTTCCCCACCATCCTGGGTCCCTCACCTCGCTCGGTCAGGTGCAGCGTTGGCACAGGGTCCTCAATGCCAGAGCTGATGGCTGCCCGTTCCGCCATGGACTTCAAGGAGCTCAGAGGCTCAGGGGCCTGGGGAGGAAACAAGAGGCCTGGCCTGAGCACTTGGGCTGCAGGAGCAAGTGCAGCCTGACACAGGCCCCAGATGCTCTCACCTGCCCTGTTTGGGGGCCGTGGAGGGCCAACGACCCACTCCCCACAATCTACCCATGACAGGTAAAAGCATCAAACTGTAGGGAAACAATCGGAGACCACGACGCATTCATCAGCAGAGGAACGTCTCGTGAGTGGGACTCTGCAGCATGGAATACTACGCCGAGATTTTCAAAATACAAGTTCGTGACATACTACAGAAGTAAACGCCAACCTGCAGAATATGTACAGTGCGCTACCATTTTTGTCAAAGGATGTGCCAATAGTACACGCTCCTTCACTAGGGACACCTACACGCTGGGAGAGCTCCCGCCTGTCTTGAAGGAGGCAGGAGGTCTACATGCTCAGCTGTCTGCCTGTGACTGGCATGGGGTGACTGGAATCGGGGTGGGCCCAGCCCGGCTAGGCTTCAGTCTCCTTGCTGGAAACAGGTAGGTTGGGTCTCCAGCCCCGCAGCCACAGCCTCGTTTCCTATTACAAAGGTTACAGCAGGCTTCTGTTCCCCAAAGTCAGGGCTGGTTCCTCCCATCTCCTCCAGCCACGTGCAGCTGTCCCAAACCCCAGCCCTGTGCTGGACTCTCCACAACGAGTCAGTCGCCAAGGCTTATCCATTCTGTCTCGCTATATCGCCCAGGCAGGTCTCAAACTCCTGGGCTCAAGCTATCCTCCCGCCTCTGCCTCCCTAAGAGCTGGGATTACAGGTGTGAGCCACCACGCCCAGCTATCCGTCCTGCTTCTAAACCCCACTGGATGGCTCCCTTCCCTGTCGTGCCACCATGTCCCACACAGCCCAGGCCTGTCCTCTCCTGCCCAGACCACCCTCCCTCTATCCTGTCCTCACCAGCCCCAGGGGACCTTTCCAATGAAGTCATGTTGTTCCTTCTCTACTCCAAACCTTGCCATGGTTCCCGACCACCCACCCCAGCGATTCATTTTTGTTGTTGGTGGTGTTAAAAGATATGGACCCCTTCTGAAAATCTCAAAGCTGCTGTTTCCCTTTTTCCAGAAAAATGCACGCACTATAAATATCCTGTCCACCTACTTCTAAAATTTGGGCCGGGCACGGTGGCTCACACCTGTAATCCCAGCACTTTGGGAGGTCGAGGTGGGTGGATCACCTGAGGTTCGGAGTTCAAGACCTGCCTGACCAACATGGCAAAACCCCATCTCTATTAAAAATATAAAAATTAGCCTGGCGTGGTGGCAGGCGCCTGTAATCCCAGCTACTCAGTAGGCTGCGGCAGGAGAATCGCTTGAACCCAGGAGGCGGATGTTGCATTCAGCTGAGATTGCACCACTGCACTCCAGCCTGGGTGACAGAGCAAGACTCTGTCTCAAAAAAGAAAAAAAAAAAAAATTAATGCTTCTGTTGGGCCAGAAACTGTTCCAAGAGCTTTATGAGGATGATTTAGTCTTCCAAATAACCCTACATAGTAGGTATAATCGTGACTATTGCCGTTTCCCAGATGAAGGCACAGAAAGGACAATGCCAAGACTTGGACCTGGACAGCCTGGGCGCGCACACTGCCTCCTGGACAGCCTGGGCGCGCACACTGCCTCCTGGACAGCCTGGGCATACACACTGGTCCCCCCATGGAAGCTGCGCTACAGTATACTGGCTCACAAGCCAAGCCCCAGCTCCTGACCCTCGATGATCAGGACCCCACCGTCCTATCCTGCTACACCCACTATCTCAGCCCTGCAGCTGGTGGCACTGTCTCCTGCAGAGTGGACACCTCTCTCCTCTCTGCTGCATCCTGCCCAGCTTCCTAAGCACACAGGCAGATGCATGCTCCTCCTAAAGCACCTCCTGAAGCCCTTCCTGCAGCTGTTAGCCCCCCTGCCTGGTCCAGGTCTCAGCTTAAACATCACCCCCTCTCAGACCTTCCTGGGCCTGTCTCCCAGGTCAGGTCAGATGCCCCTCGGTGGGCCCACCGCAACCTTCCCTGCAGCTGCCCCAGCAGGGAAGCTTCCTAAAGGGTGGAACCAGGCTGCATTCACCCAACCAGTCTTTCTACTTGTGCAGAAAGTACACCAGTCTATGCCTTGTGAGGACAAACGGGGACAGAAACTGAGGGCCTGCGGGGGGGATGAAGATGGAGACCCAGAGAGAGCAAGCAACAAGTGCAACCAAGAGAAAGGAAAAGAGACCCAGAGAAACAGAGCTTTGGAGGGAACAAGAGAGGAGGTATGAGAGCCCCCAGAGATCAAGGTCACGGGGAGGGTGGTACAGAAAGACCTGGAGAAAGAGCAAGTGTGAGAAGGGGACAGAAAGCCAGAGAAAGAGATCCAGAAAGAGGGTGGGGGCAGGGGGTGCAGCTAGAGACCTGGAGGAAAGAAACAACAGAGTCAGGACACAGAGGCTCGGGGGATGTCCGAGGAGCCCACCTTGATTTCTGGGGCGGTGCTGAACTGTGGAGGCCCATTGAGCAGGGCACCGGCTGCCTTGGCATCACTGAAGCTGGGCGTTGGGGAGCTGGGAGGATTCACAGGCAGTGGCACCAGGAGGCTGGGTCCCCCTGAGTTGTTCCCTGAGCCTGGGGCCACGCCCCCAGCCCCCGTTGGGGCTGCCGCACTGGGTTCCTTCCTGGAGAGAGAGCATGGAAGAGGGGGTTGAGAGGAGGGTCCCTGAGGGTGGGATGGGCAGAGAGGCCTGGCTGGAGAGAGGGGAGACTGCACAGATCAGATGGGATCTGAGAGGGGCAGGTGAGGGCAGACAGATGGGAGAAAGAAGTGGTTCTCTGGGCAAACAAAGGCAGAGCCCAATCTTTGGAATGGTTTCTCATCAGCAGAGCAGAGCTGTGGGGGTGGGGGTGAGGATTCTCGGGTGCTCCACCAGGCCACAGGCTGATCAAAACCACTTGCCCTGGGCAGGTGTTCACAGGGCCCACTCCCCCTTGGGCAGGCCAGCTGGAGCTGGGGTGAGGGGGCAGGAAGCAGGCCTTTCCTTTGTGCACACTGATCTTTCTTAGGGCATTCTTCGGGAAACAGGCAGACCCAGTGGAATGGTCTGAGCTAAGATTTGAAGGAGTGGCTGCAGAGGAATAAGGACTTCGGGACAATTCACTTTGAAAAGTGAAACAGTGACCCTCCGGTGGCAGTCAATTGGCCTCAGGCAGGTAACAGAAATGGGGAGGAAAGGGTATGGGGCTCTTGAGAAAACTTCCACTTAGATGAGAACGTATTTTAGAATGTTCTGAAGGGCAAAGCAGGGAGGCTGATGTAGTTTCCTTGCTGGAAAGAAGTGGGGGTGTAACACCCGAGGGAGATGGAGGATAGCGCTTGGCCATTCCCAGCAGCAAGGGCGGGGGGTTCAGAACCCACCGATGCGGGGGTGAGGCGCCTGCGCCTCTCTGTTTCAAAAGGCTGCCATCCCAACCCTGCCGATGGCCGAGACACTCACGAGGTGCTGGGAGGTGGGTTGTGGGGGCCGGAAGGGGGGCCCAAGGCCTGGCTGCTGGCATTGTTGCCCCCACTGCTGCTCAAAGCCACCTCTGCCGGGCTGTCTGCCACAACTGAGCTGTAACCTGGGAACAAAGAGTAAATGGAAAGGGCTGCTGCCTGCTGCCCAGCCCCGCCCACGCCCCCCACCCCGCTGCCTCCTCACTCACTGGTGGCGCCATTCTGCTTGCCAGCCCCTCCACCGGCACTGCTGTTACTACTGCTGCTGCTCCCTCCACCTCCGCTGCCGCCGCCTCCGCCTCCGCTAGGCTGGACGCTGGGGGGCCGGGGCTGGGTCGTGCTGGGCCCACTGGGAGCTGGTGGGGCCACAGCCTGGGCATAGGGAGCAGGGGTGCCCGAGTTGTGGCTGGGAGCTGGACTGGCCTTGGGGCCCAGGGCACTTGGGGGTGCTGCGGGGGCGGGGACCCCATTGTTGCCAGGAGTGGTGCTCAAGGCAGAGGCAGCAGGCGGGGGGCCGGAGGGGTAGGTGGGCGGCACAGCTGGGGACTGAGGGTGCTGGTTGCTGTGGACAGGCTTGGAGCCGTTTTTGGCTGGAGACTGCGGGTGGGAGAGAGCAGAGGGTCAGGACCCAGTGGGCCAGCTGGTCTCCCTCACCACCCCCACCTCAGGCTCCATCTTTGTCCCAGCAGCCTCCTCTCTGGCCTCGCTGCCCCCACCTGCTCCTGCCCTCTTGGGGACCTGGGTGACCTTACTCACCCTCATGGCTTCAATCACCTTCATGCTTAAAACACTCACACTGATTTCCAGCCTGCCCAGCTTCCCAAGTCCTGCCTGGACACCGCCCCATGGACACCCCCACAGGGATCTGACACACAACTTAGGTTGTCAGCCAGAGAAGATCCATCTGTTGGAAGCCAGAGGACTAGTGGGAAACACTTAAGTGTTCTCAATATGAGATTAGCTGGAGCCGCCTAATGTCCAAGAGTAGAAGGAAAAACAGCTGGAAATTGGATAGTAATTCTGAATGTCACCTGAAGGGTCACAGAAGCTACTCACAGGGCTGGAAGTTACCAGCACTCCAGAAAGTGGTGGGAGGGTAAATGTGCTCATGGTATCCCTACCGCAGGCAATCTGTGGACAGCACTCCGGCTGCTGAGCCTAACCACCTCCTGGGCTTCTTTCCAGCCACCCCACAGGCACCTTGCGCTTACCAAGCGCCCAACAGGACTGACTACCCACTTCTCTCCTGGGCATCGCTGCTTGGCAGTGGGGGCCTGGGAAGGTGGCAGAGCCCAGCCTGGCCCCTGGAGTACCTGCCTCAGTGTCTCTCCTCATCACCTCCTGGCCCTGTTGCCCGCCCTCACTACTACCTGCGGGTCCCCTTAGTCTCCACACCAGCCTCCTCAATGCCCACTCAGGGTGTCCCCTTGGAACCATCCATCCCGTTAGCCCACAGAGGGGCCTCAGGCCCATGCTGCTCCTGCCTAACATTGTTCTGTAGCAGCGTTTCCGAAAGCGTGCTCCTGTCCTGGGAGATGTTAAAGGAGTTGAAGAAGCACTGCCCGCCACCGTCTCCTCTCAGAAATTTGCAGTGTGTATTATCAGCACAGCAAAGGCCCCATCGCTTCCTAGGCTTATTGGACTCTGGAGGCCACTCAGGTCCACAAAGCCTGAGCCCCTCAGCCTGACAGTCCCAGTCCCTGTGCTCACAGTTGGGCCCTGGCCCTGCAGACCTGGCCAGACTCATCTCTCCTCACTTCCAAACTTTCTGTCACAACTTGCCCATGTTACTGGCTGCCACCTCTCCCTGCCAGGCAAACTCACCTGACTGTGAAGCCCAGGGCACTCCACAGCAGCATCTCCTGACTGCCTGGCCAGGCCAAGGGTGACCTGTGTGCTACCCCCTTGACCACAGCACCAGTCACCTGTCCACTTGCCCTGCCCACCTGCCCTCAGGGCAGCACTGATTTCTGAGCCACCTGTGTCCACCAGCCCAGCACAGTGGCCGGCGCTCAGGCCTCAAGATGCCTTTGGGAAGCAACAGAGGAGTGAATGGCGTGCCCACCCGGTCCAGGCTCACACCCACCTGGCTGACTTCACTGTCTGTGGAACGTCCCCTCTTCTTATCATCTTCAGAGTTTTCCTGAGGTAGGGGAGGCAGAATAGAAACCTGTGTGACCTCTGGGGCTCTGATGGAGAACCGCCAATCTCTGAATGCCCCGGGGACCTGGGCCCAATTGACTGCCATTGCGGCCCCAGAGCTGGTCAAATGGCTGTCCTTAATCTGCCTGGAGAAACCATCTCAATTCAGGCTCTCCAGTCTTCTTGTTTTCTGGGAGCCAGCACTGACCCACCAGCCTCTTAAGGATCTGGGAACCTGCTCTCCACAGGGAAGCCAACCCTTGGATCCCTGCCCAAGGTGGCCAGCTACCCAGCCTCCTCAGGCAGCCCAGGCACCGGCCCCTCCCACTTCCCAGATCCAGGACCTAAACTGGCGCGGGATGCACCCTATTGCTCTTTATGTCCTTTAGGGACCCAGATATAGGACCTTAGCGTGTGCTCCAAGAGCCTAGACCCTGGATACCTAGATCTGTGTTTCCTCAATTACGCTCCCATAGCCACTTTGGAGTGACCCAGATTTGTCTCCTCGAGTCCTGCCCTGCTGGAAACACAAGGTACTAGTGTCCCGTGGGGCCTCACCGTGGTACAGTTGGCTGGGCTGGGCGGGATGGGAGAGCTGGAGGTGGTTGAGGTGGGCGTGCTGCTGGACTGGTTGAAGATCTCATCCTCCATGTGGCTGTGGCTGGGAGGGGAGGTGGCGACCAGCGCCTGTGCTGTGGGGGCAGAAGAAGGGCATGCTTAGCTGGCTCACACAGCCCATTCTGGGCCCTCACTTCCTGTGCCACGATCAGCCCCAGGGCCTCACGAATGTCCTCGAGGTCCAGGTCATCGTAGAGAAACTCGTTCTCCTCGAAGTCGGGGTCCTGGGATGAGTCAACATAGTACTCAACGTCGTCCTTGATCTTGCGGATGGCGTCAACGAGGATGGAGTCATTGTCCAGCATGCGCAGGATGGTCTCTAGCATGCGCACGTGGTAGCGGTGCTTCTCGATGTGCCGCTTCAAGCCCTCAATCCGGTCCTGCTTCTGCTGGCGAGCCCAGGGCCAGGCTCAGGGGCTGCAGAGCACCTGCTTGGCCCCTCCTGCCCCCACAGAACCTGTCCTCAGTCCCTGACCCCTGTGGAGACCCAAAGCCTCCACGCCATCCCCTTCGGGGTGGGGCAGTATGGGGTCCACCCACCCTCTGAGCCCTGTGGGGACCAATCTTAGCCTTGACATCTTGGGATCCCACTGCTCCCTCCTCTCCCCACACCTTTCTGGCTCCAGGAGTCCTTGGAAACCTCTAAAAGACCCAGAGGTCCTTGTGCCATCCCACGACTTGGCCTCCATCTGCACCTCACCTGACAGCCCAGATTTCTCAACTGAGCCCGCCCACCACTGTGACTGCCTCTGGCATACAGATACCCTCCGACCTGCTCCAGCAGTAACAATGATAACCCCCATTTGTGAGGAGCTTGCTGTTTAGAATTGTGATATCTGTCATCACTAGGCCCCCAACCCTACCCATTTATCCCTGAGAGAGCCCAGATTCCTAAGCCTCGCTCCTGCCCTCCCCTCAAGGCCCCTTTAGGATTTAACATCTTAGCCTTGGTTCCAAATCTCTGCTCTGTTCAAGGACCCATCATCTCCCCGAAAGCCCCTGGTTCCCAAACCCCTCAGAGTCTGACACCCAACCCTGTCATCTTCCACTTCCTGACCCTCTCCCACCCACAGCTTCCCTGAGGACCCGGCTCTCCCCTCCCTGTCTTTCTGGTTTCAGCAAGTCTGTACAGTTTGTATCCCTTTGAACTCATACCCCACAATCCCGGATTTTAGAACCTGGGACCCCAACATCCAGCTTTGTCCCAGACTCCTGTCTTCCTTCAGGCCTGGTTCTCTGCCTTCTCCATGTTCTGCCTTGTCTCTACCCACTGTGCTCTCCCTAGGACCAGGGCCCTCTGGGTGCCAGGAGGCCTCTTGCCATGGGTGTCCTTCAGGTCTCACTTTTACTCTGTGGCCCAAGCTCAACCTGCACTCACCTTCCCCCAAGTCGCTCCTCTTCACAAAGGCCCCACGGTCTACCCAGACACCCAGGGGACCCTGAGATTCTGTCTGACCTCCTTCCTGCCCCACGCGTGCAGCTGCTAAGCCCTCCCAATCCTGTCTCTCAAATCCCTAATCCCGGCTGTTGGCCCTGTCCGCCTGAGGAATCCAGGCCCCAACTCCCAGGAGCATAAATGACTGGCCTCCTGCTGGCCAGCCCATTCCCATGCCCATCCCCATCCCAAAGGTGTCGGGTCTCCCTCACTCACATCCTTGTCGCCCTTCTTCTTGCGTGTCTGCACTGACAGTGACTCCACTTCACTCTCAAACTGGTCCACCTGCATGTTGAGCGTGTCGATGGTATTCTAGGGGAGGGAGAGGAAGAGGAAGCCCATCAGCTAGGGTTCCGCCTACACCCAGGGCTCAGGATCCTCAGAGTTCACCTCCTCTTCTCTACCCCAACTCACCGTGAGCCACTGGCCAACCTCTTCCTTCTCCTTCTGGGCAGGATCTACCTTCTGGGCCAGGCCCAGGCCCTCTTTGCTGTAAGCTTTGGTTTTGGTCTCTCGTTCCACAACTTTGAACCGTTCCATTTGCTGTAGAGAGTGCAGTTGGCAGGGGGGCTCTCAAAGGTGGGAAAGGAGCTGACTAAGGGCCAGCAGACACTCCGACCTGAGCCTCGTGACCCTACTTTCTGAGCTCTGAGTCCGCTGCCTCTTCACTTCCCTTAGGTGCAGAAACCTTACTTCTCTTGAGGACCTCTGGGGTCTGGCCGCTCTGCCTCCGCCCCTTGGGATCTCAAGAATCTGGTGACCTTCCCACCTCTCTGGGACTCAGGCTCTGGGCTCCTACCGTCTCAATGAGCTTGCGGTTGTCTATAAGCTGCCTCTTGTCCTTGATCTCGTTGGACGCTACCCATGTCTTGATTTGGTCCCTCAGCCGCTGCAGATGGGAAAAGCAAGAAAGTCAGACCTCAGGACCCAGGAACTGGGGCCCACAGCTCCTTCTCCCTGGGACCCAGCAGTCCACTCTCCCAGTTCCCTCTACCCTCAGGACAAAGGCGTCCAGGCCCCCAGCCCCCTCACTTGTAGCTTCTTAATCTCCTTCTTTAGGTCAGCCTCATACTTTTCTTTCTGGTTCGCGTTGGCTGCATTGTGGAGCTGAGGGATGGAGAGAATTGAGAAGTCAGTGTGGGAGGGGATGTCCCAGTACCCACTCCAGTGATTCTTCCTTATGCTAGGGACTCGAGGACCCCCCCCAACCCCTACCCCCAATCCATCTTAGAGCTGATTCTCTTAGGTCCTCAGCATCTGCATATGTAGCCCCTCCCGCTGGTCAACACCCAGAGGTCCTGAGCCGCCTTCCTGTGCCCTCCTCTCTGAAGACCCAGATTATTAGGGTCTCAGCCCCTGTACCTTCTGCCAAATATCTTCAAACTGCTCCACGCCCTCGGACACCTTCTTGAGGCAGCGATCAATCTCACCTGGCCAGGGAGGAACAAGGCTGTGAGAATCCTGCCCAGGTGGCAGGTATCTAAAGAGCAGTCCTCAGAAGAGGGAGCATGTGGCTACAGGTGCAGCAGGAAGTCAGTCTAGTACCTTGGAGTTTGCGCTTGTCCGCCATCTTCCCTGCCCTACAGACGCACTCTCTTCATACTCTCTTGGAGACGGACGCTGCTAGGAGAGATTGGAGAGGAATTAACACGTATTCCCTGGCTGGTAAAAACCCAGAGACATGGACCTAGTCAGCATAGTGAGGTAGGTGGGACTGGTAAAGAGAAGAAGCATTTGCTATCTGACAAGAGACCAGCCCCAGTTCTCCTGATGCTCGCTTGACTGCCCAGCATAGTGTCTGGCCAACAGGGGACCCCATAAGTTTGTTGAAACAAGAAAAGTTACATACTTTTTTGTGTGCCTCTGACTCAGGAAGTGGAAAATTCCTAGAGCATGGAGTACCTTCTCCCCAGAATACACTCAAAAAGGTTTTTCAGAGCAGGACAGTCATGCTGCACACAGCTGATGACTGGGATGGAGGCATTAGCCCTGGAAATCACACTTCCTACTCAGAGGGGCTGGGCAGAGGTGGCTAGGAGAGGTCATCCCTCAGACAAGTCAGGAGACAAATGAAACTGGCAGCTCACAGAGAAGGGCGTGTGTGTGTGTGTGTGTGTGTGTGTGTGTGTGTGTGTAAGCTGTAGGTAGGAGAAGAAAGATTGGGGGTGGGGGAAAACGACGGCGAGCAGAGATGCCGAAAGCTGTGAAGAGCTGAACCCGCTCATGCAGACAGGGCTGAATGCCAAGTAGAAGGGACTCAAACCACCAAGACATTTATTCCAGAGCAGGATCCTTAAACCAAAAGGAAATAACACTCCTAACCCAAAGAAGCTAATACCAAGAAGGCTTAGAGATTTGGGGGCAGAAGGCAGTACCCAAGAGAGACCTGGGAGAAGACAGAAATCTTACTAAGATAAGAGGGTGCAAAGGTACCGCAGCTGTGAGGGAGCCGATCTGCACTCATGGAGGAATCCCATAGCAAGTGGATTGGTAATTTAGAGTCAGGGAGACATAGACCATCAGGGCAGGAACCCAAAACTTCAAGAGAGGAGCGTCTTTATTTTAAAGGAAGTTACCTGGAACCCAGAGAAGACTGAGGTCAAAAGGGAGTTCCAAGGAGCTTTAGTCCAAGGGAAGACATACCTTAGGGCCTGACAGCGAGACCAGGGGAGCCCTGGGAAGAGAGGCTTATGCCTCAGAAGAAGACTTCTGAGATACCAGCGGAGATTGCCCTCTTCCCCTCCAGGGAGGGGGCCTACAATGAAAAGCACAGTTCCCTGGGATCCACGGGCCGCTCCCACTCTACGTGTGCAGGGCAGGGAACCCTGGAGTAGTCACTTACTGTAAAGACAGAAACAGCCCCATACTGAGGAACAAGAGCCTCAATACAGAGGGAAGTCACACCAAAAGAGTCCTCACCCACAAAGAAGGGAACATCTGGCAAACAGTGCTATCCAACAGAACTTTGCAATGCTGGAAACACTCTATTTGCGCATATCTGTTGGCCACTGAACATCTGAAATGTGGCAAGTGTAATGGAGGAACTGAATTTTTCATTTTTAACTAGTTACTAATCACCACATGTGACTAGCAGCAACCATATGGGACGGATATGCTTTAGAACAAGAAGCCCATAAAGGACAGGGCTGGTACCTTACCCCCAGGGAGAATTTTCCCAACACCGCAGGGACCCATTCTGGGTGATAATAGGTAGGGGTGCTACCTTACACTTGAGGGAATTTAAATCTCCTCAGTAAAAGGCCCAACCTAAAGAAAGCCGCAGCAGCCCCCGCCCAGGTCAGCTATCACGCCCTACCTGGGGAATCTCTAAGAAGGCAAAGCAACCAACAAAAGGACCCAGGAGAAGGTGCCACAGTGGGGATTCAGGCTGAGGAGGGGAAAGCCCCTTTGACCCAGGGAGCTCACACAAGGCAAGGGCCTGGACACCAGAGCTCAGGTGTGCAGGGATCCTCACCAAAGTCCAACACCCCAACACAGAAAAGCCTCTTACTGCATAGGGGGAACAAGAATGTGAAACGAGAGTTTACACTCCCTCTTTCCATCCCAAGAACCCAACAGAGGGTCATGGGCAGGTGCTCCAGCCCAGAGAGAGAAGAGGTCTCATGGTCTACACCCCTAAACAAGGCAATCAACACCTTAGGCAGGTGACGCCCTCCCTGTGTCTCCACACGGAAAGGACTGGTATCCTAGTGCAGAGGAAGAATACCCACAGAGAGGAGACCACACTGTGGCAGCAAGAGAAGGAAGTCCTGGAGGGGTCACAAGCCAGAAGGAGGGGAACAAGAGCGCTAACCCAGGGAGGTGATGTTTCAGACAGAACAGTGTGACATCGAAGTCGGCTACAGCTGAGACCCAGTGAGGAGGCAGCTCCTCCACAGAGAAGGGGCAAGTGCCAGAGGCCCAGGGTACTTGTCCCCTAGAGAGGCTGGAGCCTTAGCCACAGTAGAGACAACACCTTCCCCGCTAAGAAAATCCTTATATCATGAGGGTATCTGTACCTCTGGTCCCCCCAGCAAAGGACCAGAGAGAAGGGAAGCTGGAGCCTGAGTCTCGAAGCAGAGACGCCGCCAGAGAAGAAAGAGCCCCATTTGCTGTAGTCAGGGGGGCATCCACCAAGATCCTCCAAGGAAGGTGGTGATCGCAGGTCCACTCTCAGGCGTGAAGAACCTGTGCTCCAGCAGCAAAGGCTCTCCAAGAGCACTGAGGAATCTGGGAACCTCGGCCCAGGAGGAGACTTACCCAAGAGGAACACACATCCCCACAGGGAAGGGACCCACAAGGCGGGTGGCGGGGCGGGGGGAGGTGAGCAGGACACCAGCCTCACAGGAGCCAACACGCTAAAATCAGAGCCAAAACCAGTAAAGAAGAGCCCCCCAGACTTCATCTCAGGGAAGATGATACCACCACACAAAGACTCGAGGAGGGAGGGGCAGGAGGTCAGCCCTGGGAAACTAACACCGGGTGGTCCTTAACCTTGGGGGCCGTCATGTGCCCACAGAGTGGTCTTTGTCATGAGGCACCTTTGATCTGGGAGAGCTTCCGCCTCTGCAGCAAGGAGCTCTGAGAAGTGATGTTGAAGGGTGATCCTTAACCCAGGTGGCTGCTGACGTGGCCACACAGAGGCTCTGAGACTCCAGAAGAAGGATGCGTTAGGGCCTGGGGTAGAGGTAGTCATCTCCACTGAGATGCCCCATGCCAAGGGTGGGGGGCTGGAATCTCCCACCTTGGAAAGTCTACACCAGAGAAGTCTCTGGTCCCAGGGACAGGGTCTACAGTGGAGTCTCCCGCTTGAGACTCAGGTATCTTACATCCACACAGCCAGGAAACTATGCCTTACCCCATACAGTGACAAATCAAGAGGGGGTTTTGGAAGCATGAGCCGGGGGCACCTGCATCCGAGAGGGGTCCTCAGCCTTACGGTGGGGACACATGCAGAGGCGTGGACACCTCAAATCCAGAAAAGCAGCCATACCAATACCAAGGATGGCAAGAACCTTATCCCTGGGGGAGGTGACACCAAGAAAGGGTCCTTACCCTGGAGAGAAGGCACAGCCCCAGAGGGAAGAGCCCCCACCTCGCAGTACAGGAACCCGGGTCTAGGAAGCTTCCTACTCTCATGGGGTACCAGCAGCGGGGCCAGAAGGCGAAACCCTTGTTCTCCAACTGCTGACACCCAGCGTAAGGGTAGATGGGAAGTCAACAAACCCACAGTGTGGGATCTGATGCAAATATCAAGGGCAGTGGGCTTCTTGGTCCTTGGAGAGCTGACACCCTAAAGGAGGAGACTGGTGTGAAGATGGAAGAAGCCTCATACTCAGGCAGGGGTGAAGGGAGGGAGGGGAGACATCAAAACCCCTCACCAAAAGGACAGGAGAGCTCACCCCGGGGTGGGTGGCCGCCCTGCACTGAGAGGCAGGGACTGCTCAGAAAGAGGGGCTGGTGCTGCCCGCAGTGGGAGCTCACTAACATGGACAGCGTGGCGGCTTAGTGTCTTTCACCAGGCACCTGAGCGCCAGGGGATCCCAGCAGCCCCCAGCAACAAGACCACAGTGGTCCTGATATCACTGGGAGACGCCCACACCCAGAAGGTCGGAGAGTCACGATGCAGGGGAGTTCAAGGCTGCAAAGCCAGGGGCAGACGCCAGGATCAAAGAAGTGTGAGAGCTGAGACCAGACGTGGGCCACACTGAGGACGGTCCTGTACCCCAGGTGGGGGAAAGCCAAACTCCCCCAAAAAGGCAGGCGCCCAGTGCAGCGGGATGGCGAGGCTGGAGCCACCCAGGGCGCTACTCGCTATGAGAGGGAAGAGCTGCAGACTACAGAGGTGGAAACTTCGGCAAAGGCTCCAACTAACGGGGAGTTTCTCCTCCACTCCTCTCCCAAGAGGCTCCCATCCGATACAGACGGGCAGCTGGAACCTGAGATCCAGGGGAGGCTGCGCTCCCGGGAGCAGTGAGGAGGGATGCGGAGGGCGGCCTCGGTCCTGGGAAGGGTGACTCCCCCACCCAGCTGGGGTCCTCGTCCCGACCACCACCCCCCCTCCCCGCCACCGTCGAGGGAGAAGCCCCGGCGCGGAGGCTGCCCCACAACGCGAAGGACCGAGGCCGAGGGGGGCAGGCACCTGAGCCCCGAGAGGGCGGGCACCTGGGACCAGGGGCGCCTCCATCCTTCCAGCCAGGAGCCAATACCGACGCGGAGAGGGGCGGGCACCTCGCGCCCGGGAGGCTTCGCACCCTCACACCCCTACCGGGGGGCCCGACGCGATGCCACGCGGGGAGGCGGCGGCGGGCGGGGCCCGGGGTCCGGGTCGCGGAAGGACCCCCGGGAGGCGCTGAGGAACGTGAAAGAGGCGCAGGAACGGGAGGGCGAGAGGGAGGGAGCCGCCCCCCGCCGGGAGCCCCGCGCTGCAGAGGCGGCGGCAGGGGGCAGGCGAGGGGAGGCCATGTCGCGACAGACGGCGGTGTCGCCAGGGCGGGAGGCGGCGGGGAGGGCGGCCGATGGCGCCGGGGGGAGGAAGGGAAGGGGTCCGGCCCAGTCGAGCCTGACGCTCTCACCACAGGAGCTGGCGCCGCCGCTGAGGAGCGTATCGCGACAGGCGGGGGAGGCGAGCGCCCGCCGCCTTTTTCTCGCGCCCCGGGCCCGGGCGCTATCGCGATAGCGGCGCGAAGCGGAAGTGGGGTTGGGGGAGTGGGCCCGGGGTTGTTCTGACGACGGGGGTCGGGGCTCAAGGGAGGCCGCGGCGTCTGCCGATGGCTCCGCGGAAGCTGACCGGGCCCGGTCCAAGATGGCGGCGGCGGAGGAGGCCTCCCCTCCTCTCTTCTCGTCTCTGGCGCCGACCCGCCCCCGAGTCCCGAATATAGGCCAGTCATTGCTCCTGCTGAACGTCGCTCCTGACCCTTGGAGGCTTTCTATTGGTTCCTGGCAGGGATGCGCCCTGCCCCCTTTCGCGGATTGGGTGATCGCTCCAAGGCGCGGCGTTCGATTGGCCTCCCGCGCAGGCTGCTAGGATTGGCTCAGGTTTTCCTCCCCGCTCCTCCTCCTCCTCCCGCCTCAGGGCACAACACGCCAGCGCGAGGACCCGAACGTCAATCAAGAGACCTGTGTCGTGCTGATTGGATGTATCCGCCCCCCTCTCTTAAAACAATTGGTCTGGGGGAGGAGCTACGACAGTCCAGGGGCGGGAAGTCGTCCGTCAAGTTTAGAGCTCTTTTTAATTGGTTGCGGGGGCATATTCTGCCTTGAAGTCATTGGTTGGTCCTGGAAGTGGGTGGGGAAAGCGGAGGAAGGCATGGAGTGTGGGCGTTAGGGGCCGCGTACCTAATGGGAGACAGACAGGTGCCTTTAAAGCGGGGGCCGAGCCGAAGTCATCTGCCAATCAAAACAGCCACAGGGCCAAGTGGGAGGAGCTGGGCAAGAAAGTCCACCCCTTTTTCTTCGTTGGCCCTAAAAGTTATCATTCATGCTAGTTTGACCAATAGCGTGGCGAGTGGGCGGTAGCTGCTCGTAGAGCGTGTGAAAGAGGGTGTATGTAGCTGGCAGAAGTGGGACTTGGTCGCAACCGTTGCGTCCCGGCCAGGTAAGCAGCTTCCCTCTCAGCTGCCTCGTCTTTCTCCAAGTGCCTCTATGTTGGCACATCTCTGAAATTCATTATTTGCTGAGTGAAAGAAGAAAGGGACCAGAGACACTGCTTTAAGTCTCTGGCACCGTGCATAGCAGAATTGGTTGGGAAGCGTGAGGCATGGAGTTTTTGTCCTGCCCCTGCCTGGTTAGGCGACCAGATGGTAGGACAGTCATTCTCCTCTGCGTCTCCGCTTCCTTAGTGTGTTGAGGACGCTGCAGAAGGTACAGAGGAGACGGGTGGCTCCCTAATGCCTGCTCGTTTCAGGTCTCAGCTCTGTTGTCTTCTTGGAGAGAAAACTTCCCTGACCTCCCTCCCGGGCGGAGCGCTCCTGCGCGCCTTGTTCGTTAGGATTTATTTTTGTACGTCTACCGTCATTTTCGTAATTATTCGGTTTCCCTGTCTGGATTTTGCATCTCCAGCACTTAGCACGCAGGAAGTAGTCAGTAACCATTTGTCAAAGGAATAGATGAATGAATGTGAGGAATGACTTGTGATTGAAAACTTACTAGACACTGAGACTTCCACGAACTGGGAGGCATTTGCCCAGGGTCACACAACCGAGATGGGAAGCCAGATTCGCCCCTTCCTGTCTAGGTGGTGGAAAGTAAGATAAATCCCAGGGAGAGGTGAACGTGAAGGAGGATGGAGCCGTTCAGCACCACCCGCATCAGAATGGTCTGAGGCAAGGGGGAGGAGGAATGCTTGCGAAAATGCATATTCGTAGGCCCACACACAGACAACGGGAATGAAGCCTAGAGTTATTGTTCTAGAGCTCTGCTATTCAAACTGTGGCCCCTGGACAAAGTATCGCTTCTCAGACATCTCCGGAATCACCTAGGAATGTGTTAAAATGCAAATTCTGCTTTTCTAACAAGTGCCGCAGTCCACGGTCCGCAGTTCACTTTGCACACCGCGGATCTAGCGATGACTTTCCAACTTGGCTGCACATCAGAGTCACCTGAGGAACTTGTTGTTATTGTTGTTGTTGTTGAGACGAAGACTTGCTCTTGTCCCCCAGGCTGGAGAGCAGTGGCACAATCTAGGCTCACTGCAGCCTCTGCCTCCCGGGGTTCAAGTGATTCTCCCGCCTCAGCCTCCCGAGTAGCTGGGATTACAGGCGCCCGCCACCACGCCCGACTAATTTTTGTATTTTTAGTAGAGACGGGGTTTCACCATGTTGGCCAGGCTGGTGTCGAACTCCTGACCTCAGGTGATCCGCTCGCCTCAGTCTCCCAAAGTGCTGGGATTACAGGCGTGACGACTGCGCCTGGCCTACCTGAGGAACTTTAAAAAAAAAAAATTTTTTTTAAATTAGAGGCCAGGCCGGGCCGGGAGAATCACTTGAACCCGGGAGGCAGAGGCTGCAGTGAGCCTAGATTGCGCCATTGCACCTGTAATCCCAGCACTCTCAGAGGCCGAGGTGGGCGGATCACCTGAGGTAGGGAGTTCAAAACCAGCCTGGCCAACATGGTGAAACCCCGTCTCTACTAAAAATACAAAAATTAGCTGGGCATGGTGGCATGTGCCTGTAATCCCAGCTACTCGGGAGGCTGAGGCGGGAGAATCACTTGAACCTGGGAGGCAGAGGTTGCAGTGACCCGAGATTGCGCCATTGCACTCCAGCCTGGGTGACAGAGCAAGACGCCGTCTCAAAAAATAAAAATAAAAAATAAAAAAGTCCAGATACCCAGGCTTACACTGGACCAACTAAAACGATCTTGAGGTGGGAGCCAGTGTCTCTCTCACCCAGGCTGGAGTGCAGGGGCGCCATCTCGGCTCACTGCAACCTCTGCCTCCCAGGTTCAAGCCATTCTCCCACCTCAGCCTCCCAAGTAGCTGGGATTACAGGCGTGAGCCACCGCGCCCAGCGTAAGAGCCGCTTACAGAGTCTTCTTTTCTAGAGCAGTGCTTCTGAAATGTGGCCTTGGGTCAGGCACGTACCCATCACCTGGGAACTTGTTTGAAAGGCACATTTTTGAGCCCCACCCTAGACTGAATCAGAAACTCTGGGCCCAGCAACTATGTTTTAACAAGTCCTCAGTGTAATTCTGAAGCGCATTAAATTCTGAGAACCTCTGTTCTGAAAGTACGAGGGCTGCAGGCCCAGGCGACTCAAGATTCCTTTCCTGAGATTGACACCCTCATGCCACAGCCCCATTGGTAGATGCCGGATATTTTGGCCAAGGGAGATGGGGGATTCTGAACAGGGTTGTGGACCACGGGTCCTTCCCTGGCAGACCAGTATGTAGAGATCAGCAAAGGTTGTCATTTTCAAACAGGGTTGACCCAGAGGGTCAGGGATAACATTGAGAAAACAGACTTGAGTTATACAACCTGGGGTAGTTCAGCCACTCAAGGGAACCTCCTGAGTGTGTCGACTTTTTGACTTGAGGAAGGAGAGAGATTTAGAGATTGCCACTGAGGTCCAGAGACAGAGCTCTGGGTTGAAGGACAGGGATCCAGAGATACACAGAGTGGTGACGGGGAGGCCCAGAGAGGGGAACAGAAAGAGCAAAATCTCAGACAGGACCTAGAAAGTCAGAGGGAGACCCAGATAGCATGAGCTGGAGAGAGGGAGGGAGAGAGAGAGAGGGAAGGTGGAGAGAGGGAGGGAGAGAGGGAAGGTGGAGAGAGGGAGGGAGGGAGGGAGAGAGGGGAGGTGGAGAGAGGGAGGGAGAGGGGAGGAGAGAGGGAAGGTGGAGAGGGAGGGAGAGGGAAGGTGGAGGGAGGGAGAGGGAAGGTGGAGGGAGGGAGAGGGAAGGTGGAGAGAGGGAGGGAGGGAGGGAGAGAGGGAGGGGAGGTGGAGAGAGGGAGGGGAGGTGGAGGGAGGGAGAGGGGAGGAGAGAGAGGGAGAGAGAGGGAAGGTGGAGTGAGGGGAGGTGGAGAGAGGGGAGGTGGAGAGGGAGGGAGAGAGAGAGGGGAGGTGGAGAGAGGGAGGGACAGAGAGAGGGGAGGTGGAGAGAGGGAGGGAGAGAGAGGGGAGGTGGAGAGAGGGAGGGAGAGAGAGGGGAGGTGGAGAGAGGGAGGGACAGAGAGAGGGGAGGTGGAGAGAGGGAGGGACAGAGAGAGGGGAGGTGGAGAGAGGGAGGGACAGAGGGAGGGGAGGTGGAGACAGGGGAGGTGGAGAGAGGGAGGGAGAGAGGGGAGGTGGAGAGGGAGGAAGAGAGAGAGGGGAGGTGGAGAGGGAGGAAGAGAGAGAGGGGAGGTGGAGAGAGGGAGGGAGAGAGAGGGGAGGTGGAGAGAGGGAGGGACAGAGGGAGGGGAGGTGGAGAGAGGGAGGGACAGAGGGAGGGGAGGTGGAGACAGGGGAGGTGGAGAGAGGGAGGGAGAGAGAGAGGGGAGGTGGAGAGAGGGAGGGAGAGAGAGGGGAGGTGGAGAGAGGGAGGGAGAGAGAGGGGAGGTGGAGAGGGAGGAAGAGAGAGAGGGGAGGTGGAGAGAGGGAGGGAGAGAGAGGGGAGGTGGAGAGAAGGAGGGAGAGAGAGAGGAGGTAGAGACCTGGAGGCATCATCTTCCCACCAGGCTGCTGCTTGTCCTGGTAACATCTCTTAGGTAACTAACAGAAGCCCGACCTTGTAGGTCAGGTGACTAGCGCTGCCTCCTTAGTACCACCGTGTAGCCCAGCTCCGGAGCACATAGTAAATGGAACCCCTGGAGTTGCTCTTCCTTAACCTCTCCAGGGAGACGGTTTCATGCCACCCGCTAGGACAGCCCCTGCTGTCCCCTGGAAACTCTCCTGACTGTCTGCAGGCCACATTCCCCTCAGTCCAAGTAAAGGCGCTCCTGGCCGAGCCCCGGTTCCCGAGACTCAGTGACTGGAGGTCAGGGGAGGGGAAGTGTGCTCCTTCTGCTCACCTGGCAGGACTTTTATAGCAACCAGGTCCTACCAGGGCAGGAAGCCTGCCTGCTTCGCCTGTGCCCGGCTCCACACAGTCCCTCAACACTGGTTATAAATAAGAGGCTGGGCCAGGCACAGGGTAATCCCAGCACTTTGGGAGACGAGGCAGGCGGATTATTTGAGGTCAGGAGTTCGAGACCAGCCTGGCCAACATGGTAAAACCCCATCTCGGCCGGGCGCGGTGGGTCACACCTGTAATCCCAGCACTTTGGGAGGCCGAGGCGGGCAGATCACAAGGTCAGCAATTCAAGACCAGCCTGGCCCAAATGGTGAAACCCCGTCTCTGCTAAAAATACAAAATTAGCCAGGCGTGGTGGCGGGCGCCTGTAATCCCAGCTATTCGGGAGGCTGAGGCAGGAGAATCACTTCAACCTGGGAGGCGGAGTTTGCAGTGAGCCAAGACCATGTCATTGCACTCCAGCCTGGGTGACAGAGCAAGACTCCGTCTGAAAAACAAACAAACAAACAAACAAACAAACAAAACCCATGGGCGCCTGTAATCCCAGCTACTCAGGAGACTGAGGCAGGAGAATCACCTGGACCCGGGAGGTGGAGGTTGCCATGAGCCAGGATCATCCCACTGCACTCCAGCCTGGGCAACAGAGTGAGATTCTGTCTCAAAAAAAAAAATAATAATAATAATAAGAGGCCAGACACAGCGGCTCAAGCCTGTAATCTCAACACTTAGGGAGGCTGAGGTGGAAAGCTCACTTGAGCACAGGAGTTCAAGCCCAGCCTGGGTAATAGAGCACGACCCTGTCTATAAACAATTTAAAAATGGGGCTGGGGTGGTGGCTCACACCTGTAATCCTGGCACTTTGGGAGGCTGAGGTGGGCATATCATGAGGTCAGGAGTTCGAGAACAGCCTGACCAACATGGCGAAACCCTGTCTCTACTAAAAACTATAAAAATTAGCGGGACATGGTGGCACATGCCTGTAATCCCAGCTACTCAGGAGGCTGAGGCAGGAGAATTGCTTGAACCCGGGAGGTAGAGGTTGCAGTGAGCCAAGATTGCACCACTGTACTCTAGCCTGGGCAACAGAGCGAGACTCCACCTCAGAAAAAAAAAAAAAATTTAAATTAACCAGGAGGCCAGCTGTGCTGGTTCATGCCTGTAATCCCAGCCCAGGAGTTTGAGGCTTTAGTGAGCTTCATCGCATCACTGTACTCCAACCTGGGCAACAGAGACCCCGTCTCTAAAAAACCCAATCATAACAGGACCTGGTTATAGGGCGCTGATGGCAAGTCCCATGCTAAGTGCTTTCTGTGCATTCTTTCCAGTCCTGGGCACCTGGGCGTAGGTGTGGAGGCTTGGAAAGGTGAGGAGGCTGGCCTGAGGTGGACAGCAATCCCGGTCGGCCTGCGCTGAGATCTGCGGCTGTTGGCAGCCACATCATTTGCTATCAAAGTGACTGCGGCTCTCCAGGGGGTTGGAGAGGGCTTTTTCCTTCTGGGATCCCATGACGAGAAAGTAACGGGGAAGGGAGTGGGCCTAGACACCGCTTGGACCCGAGGGCCAAGCTCTTTTCTCAAAGCTCCACAGCTCTGATTCTTCTAGTTGCCCCGGCTGTTTGAAAAATGATCACTCCCCAAGGACAGATCTTGACAATGTCCTTTTAATTGTACTCTTTTCAAAAAATCTCCTTTCTCAGTTAAAAAAGACAAGGCATGATGAAGACCTGCTCTAGCCCATACTGGGCGGTGATCTCGGTCCTGGGGGAGGCCAGGCCGGACTCTTCCAAGGCCTCCTCCCTGGGCAGTCCCAGCAATGGGGCCAGTGGCAGGGCAGGTTCTCCCTGCCAGAACCCGATCCTAGCCCTTCAGAAGGACTGGACCTCTGTGTCCCTTCAGTGGGAAGCCACCTTGGACACACGCAGTCATTCAGGTGGACATAAGGCCACTCTTCTCGCCCTTGACCTTGAGGAACTCAGCCATGCTGGAGAAATACTTCTGGTTGGCCTCAGCCACCTTCTTCTCTGCCGCCTGTGGGTTCACAATCTCCAGGCCCTGGGCAGGTGAGGGAGAGAGGATGATGGGTTAGGTGAGGAGAAGGCCCCAACTGTGACCCATCAGAGCCCCCCAGGCCCTTCCCCATGGCACTCAGGCCTTGGTGGGCATGAGACAGTTTGCCTGTCCCTGGAGTTGCCCTGTCTTGGGAGATTCTGACTCAGTGGGTCTAGAGGGAGAGGGTGGGGAGGAACCAGGGCGCCTGGATTTGTACGAAGTTCCTCAGGGGTGCTAAAAACAACCAATGCTTGAGGACAGCCAATCCTGCCCAGTTTCTGCATAAGGAAACTGAGTCCCTGGGGGACATGGCTGGCCCGAGGTCCTAGCACAAATCACACCAACACCACTGACGATCATAGTGGCAGCAATGGGAGCCAACACCTGGCTGGCACTTCCTAAATATTTTCAAGGCAACAGAGCGAGCCCCCGTCTCTAAAAATAATAACAGGACCCAGTCATTGGGCTCTAATGGTGAGCCCAGTGCCAAGTGCTTCCTGTGCGTTCTTTTCAGTCCTGAGCACCTCATGATGGAGGAGGGGAGGCTTGGAAAGGCACAGCCACTGGCCTCATCTTCTCAAAGAGGCCCTCCCTGGCTGCTCCGAAACGAGAGCCTCCCCTGTCCCACCTCCTACCTTCCACCTCCTCCCCTCCCTGGCATTTCTGCCTTCTTTTTTTTTTTTTTGAGACAGAGTCTGGCTCTGTCGCCCAGGCTGAAGTGCAGTGGCGCGATCTCGGCTCACTGCAAGCTCCGCCTCCCGGGTTCACGCCATTCTCCTGCCTCAGCCTCCCAAGTAGCTGGGACTACAGGCGCCCGCCACCACGCCCGGCTAAGTTTTTGTATTTTTAGTAGAGACGGGGTTTCACCGTGTTAGCCAGGATGGTCTCGATCTCCTGACCTCATGATCCACCTGCCTCGGCCTCCCAAAGTGCTGGGATTACAGGCGTGAGCCACCGCGCCCGGCCTGGCATTTCTGCCTTCTACTACACTGGGCATCTTACTGAGCTGTCTGCGCCCAGCCTGGCATTTCTGCCTTCTCCTACACTGGACATCTTACTGAGCTGTCTGCGCCCGGCCTGGCATTTCTGCCTTCTCCTACACTGGACATCTTACTGAGCTGTCTGCGCCCGGCCTGGCATTTCTGCCTTCTCCTACACTGGACATCTTACTGAGCTGTCTGCGCCCGGCCTGGCATTTCTGCCTTCTCCTACACTGGACATCTTACTGAGCTGTCTGCGCCCAGCCTGGCATTTCTGCCTTCTCCTACACTGGACATCTTACTGAGCTGTCTGCGCCCGGCCTGGCATTTCTGCCTTCTCCTACACTGGACATCTTACTGAGCTGTCTGCGCCCGGCCACCCACTGGCTCCAAGAAGGTAAGACTTGTCTCTCATTCGTTGCTTCATCCCCAGAGCCGGGAACACTGACAGAACTCAGCAGGTGCTGCGTAGACACCCGCTGACTGGGCAGATGAGCTCGCTGCTGTCTCGCCTCCGTGGTGCAGGCTCGCCCTGCTCTGTGGATGGTAAACCGAGGCTCCGACGATGCGGTGACTGCCATGCTCCACGCTGCTCACTGCTGACTGGCTGGGGCCTGGACCCACACTTGACATCCAAGCCCGCCTAGCCGGGAACTTTCTCGAGTGGGGTCCTGAGGTTACCTTAACCGTCCTGGCCGTTTTGAACTGGAGGGCCTGGAGGCTGAGCAGTGTTACCCGCTCACAGCCCGACAGAGGAACTGGGTGCCCTGAACACAGCTGTGGGCCTGGTTCTAAAGCAGTGCGTGCTCACGAGGACTGCTCAGCGCTGGGCTCTCGTCTCTGCTAACCTCTTCCTGTGTGCCAGGAGCTGTCTACGTCCTCTGCATACCTCGTCACCACACCCTCCACAACAGCCCCATGAGGAGACTCATCCTGGCCTTCTTCACAGGGGCAGAGGGCAAGGGGCCTTGCCAAGGTCTCAGGGCTGGGGACAGAGCCGGCCCAGGGGAGGTACCTGGAGTGGGGTGAAGGCCACGCTGGAGGCCGTGCCCGAGGAGCGGTCGCGGATGGTGGACTTCCCGCCATATACGACGCTCTGCTTCTGCAGGGTCCGCTGTGGGGAGGACAGGGAGGCTGCGATCTGGGCTCCCCCCACCTTGTGTCCCTCGGTCCCCAGCCCCACCTGGGTCTGGCCCATACCTGCAGCGTCTTGGAGATCCTGGCCTTGGTGGCCTCGTTTACCTGTGTCTGCCGCACACGCCCACTGCCCGACTTGCCCAGGTGGCCCAGGCTGAATCCCAGGTCCTCCTGGTAGGCGTCCTCCTCGATCTAGGGGGAAGAGGAGGCGCCCTGCAGTTCAGCGACCAGGCCCTGCCCTCCAGCCACCGAGGCACCCCCTCCACCAGCCGGAAGCCCAGCGGTCACCAGCCGGCCGGTCCCACGGGCACCTGCTCCGGTACCCACTCGGCCCGGCTGAGGCCTGGGGGCCCACACACGCGGGGGATGCCGGGGAGCCTGAGAGGGGCCCGGTCCCAGCACTGCTCTGTGAGCTCAGAGTTGGGAGGCCATTCCTTCCTTACTCGTGTGGGTCGGGGGATGTCAGGAACCAGAACAGGTTTAATAGGATGAGGTGGCCTCTGAGTTCGGTCCTGCAGGACCAAGGGGATGACGCTGGGATAACAGAGGAGACTGGCGGGGCCCAGGGACGGGGCGGCCGTGCAGCAGGGCACTAAGGAGCCTCTGGGCAGGGAGGAACCGGCCAAGGAGCCCGGGGCGATGGGAAGCCGCGGGGGCTCTAAGCAGCGGAGACACAGGCTCCAAGGGCCGCGAGGGTCGCTTTGGGGCTGAATGGATGGAAACGAGAATAGAGGCCGGGGGGGAGGAGGCTGGGGCAGCGCCCTAGACATGAGCCAGGGCCACAGGACGAGAGGAGGGGCGGTGGCAGGAGGCAGAGGGCGGTGGCGGCTGGCTGGCTGTGGGGTTGAGGAGGGCGCTCTGGGAGTCTGACCTCTCCGAAGCTCATACGGTTGGCCTGCTTCCGGATCTCCGTCAGCCCCAGCCGCTCCTTCATCTTGCGGTACCTGGGGACGGGTGGGTGGGCGGCGCCAGGGAGTCGGCTGGGAGGAGGACGCCGGCTTCTCCCCTCCATGACCCCCATGCCTACCGGACCCCCAGGGCCCCTCACCTGCGGCCGCCTCGCTTCTTCCGCTGTCCATCCAGGGGCGCAGGCAGCGGCTTCACCTGCTTCACAGGCGGCGGCTCCTGCCACTTGTCGAATTTGCGCTCGATCTCATCCTTCAGTTCGTAGCCCACCTGGGGAGGGCGAGGGGGAGGTCCTGCAGCTGCTCGCGTGGGCTGCCCACCCAGGCCTCCTCTGAGCGGACCCCCCGAGTATCCACGTGCCTTAGTTAAATCAGCACCTAATGCTGCCTCACCGCCACCCCCTTTCTTTTTCTTCTTGGTGTTGACTTAGCACCGCTAGACGCAGGACAGAGTTCACCTGTTGACTGTCTCTTTGACCCGGCCCCAACAAGAATGTCCACGCCACGGGGCAGGGGTCCTGTCTGTGCTACTCACAGCTGCACCCCCACACCCAGACCAGGGGTGAGATGGGGAGAGGGAAAGGAGAAGGGGACACGGAACACCTGAACGCTGTGCCAGGCCGGGTGCTTGGCAAACGACAGTTCACAAGACAGAAAACGTCTCCTCTCCCGAGTACATCTACCAAGGAAGACAGAAGGTAACTGAATAATTACTTGAATAACATCCCCTGTTGCAGCGGGGACAGATCCTGGTGTGGAAGGCAAATTACGCCCCCACCAACACACACATGCCCAAAGAGGCCCATGTTCTAATTCCCAGAATCACAGGGCAAAAGGGACGTGAAGAGGTTAAGAAGGATTTTAAGGATTGTGAGCTGGGAAGACTATCCTGGACCATCTGAGTAGGCTCAGTATAGCCACAGGGGCCCTTAAAATAGAAGAGGGGAACAAAAACAGAGGCCGAGATATGAAGACAGAAGCAGAGTCAGAGAGAGGTCTGAGGGTGCTATGTGGCTGGCTCCGCAGACAGAGGGAGGGCCACGAGCTAAGGGGTGCCAGTGACCCCTAGAAGCTGGAAAAGACAAGGGAATGGATTATCCCTTGAATCCCCCAGAAGGAACGCTCCAGGATGACACCCTGACTTCAGCCCAGTGAAACTCATTTTGGACTTCTGACCTACAGGACCACAGATAATAAACCTGTACTGTTTTTTGTTTTTGTTTTTAGATGGAGTCTCGCTATGTCACCCAAGCTGGAGTGCAATGATGCAATCTCAGTTCACTGCAACCTCCGTCTCCCAGGTTCAAGCAATTCTCCTGCCTCAGCCTCCTGAGTAACTGGGATTACAGGTGCGTGCCACCACACCCGGCTAATTTTGGTAGAGATGGGGTTTCACCATGTTGGCCAGGCTGGTCTCAAACTCCTGACCTTGTGACCCGCCCACCCTGGCCTCCCAAAGTGCTGGGATTACAGGCGTGAGCTACTGCACCCGGCCACACCTGCACTGTTTGAAGCCAGTAGGTTCATGCTACCTTCCAACAGCAGACCTAGGAAACCCCACTGGGGAAGGGGGTGCCTGACCCCAGGGAGGGTGGGCAGAAGCACTGCCTCCGCCTTGGTAGGACAGTGCTCGCTGGGGTGGGCTCCCTGCTGAGGGTCTCCCTGCAGAGACACCCCAGGCCCAGAGGAAAAGACGCCCGGCCGCCCCTCACCTTTCCCTCCTCACCTTCCCTTCTGTGCTCTCGTGGAAACTGTCCACACGGGCTGCCAGTGTGCACTTGGCGGCCACCAGCCGGGCCGCTTTCCGCCGCAGATCCTGGAGCAACGGAAAACGGGGGTGGAATCTGTGTGAGACAGACAGACAGAGGTAACAGCAAAGCAACCGCGCGCGCTCCTCCTCTGGCTCTACCTGGGGTCCTGGAAGGGGGCTTTCCACCCTTGGGCTCTAGAGGTGTGTGCTCTCAGCTCCTACTTCACAGGAAGAGGGGATGAGGGCAGGGCACAGAGCCATGTCCCAGCTGATAAGTGGCCATCAGGTAAGGATGACAGTAAGGCACGCTGACAACGAGGACGGTGGTGACTGTGGAGACGCCGGGGGGAGTGCACTCGGCCTGGATGCCAGCCCCATGCTAAGCACGCCCCTCGGATCATCTCATCAAATATTCAAATATTGGGCTGGTGTGATCATTGCACCCCCTTTTCAGATGTGGAAACCAAGGCTTCAAGTCATGTGGCCAGGGAGACAGCCAGCAGGTGATGGAGCCAGGGTTCCAATCCAAACTGCAAACAGAGCCCAGCTGTCAGCCACAGTGAAGCGATGGCCAGCCCTGGCCTCCCTTACAGGCCTGTGGTGTCTACGGCCTGTGCCTGGACCGATGTGAGATGGCCAAATGAAGAGGCAGAGGCCTGGGTGACAAGACATCAGGCTCCCTGGGGCAGGTTTAACCCATATGCCCAGGGCTGTGAGGCGGTGGCGATGGCAGGGGTGCAGTGAGGCAGCTGGAGCCCCGAGCCCCAGGCCCACCCGTCCTGGGTTCTATCGCCCACTCTCTCTCCTCCCAGGATGGGGTGACCTGCCAGCCTCCCTGGGTGTGTTCCAGTAGCAGTGCCTGACCTAAAGGGTCGCAGAAAAGACCACAAAAAAAACCCCACACAGGGCTGGGGGGTGGGGCCAGGAAGTGCCTGCCCAGCCTTGGCCATCAGTGCTATTGTTCTCCCCATCCCTGGGGGAGGCCAGGCAGGGCACAGGGCCGTGAGCCTGAGGTAACTCGCCACAGTCGGACAGAGCAGGGTCTGGACCCAGGCCTGTCTGTCCCAGAACCTGTCTTGTTTTTTTTTTTTTTTGAGACAGAGTCTCACTCTGTCACCCAGGCTGGAGGGCAGTGGTATGATCTTAGCTCACTGCAACCTCCACCTCCTGGGTTCAAGCGATTCTCCTGCCTCAGCCTCCCAAGTAGCTGGGATTATAAGTGTGTGCCACTATACCCAGCTAGTTTTTTGTATTTTTGGTAGAGATGGGGTTTCACCATGTTGGCCAGGCTGGTCTCGAACACCTGACCTCAGGTGATCTGCCCGCCTCGGCCTCCCAAAGTGCTGGGATGACAGGCACGAGCCACTGCGCCCCGCCAGGCTAGCGGGCCTGTGTGTGTGCTGTCAGGCGTCGATGCTGGGATGGTGATGTGTCCCGACTGCAGGGAGAGGACCCGGGAAGCTCCGAGGTTGGTGACCTCTCCTGCCCCTCCTGTGTGTCTCTCCCCATGGCTGATGTGCAGCCCTCAGTGGATTCTGTGAGTCTTTCTAGTGAATGGTCAAACCTGAGGGTGGTCTTCGGAGCAGTTGCACGCTAACCCGACGCTGCTTGTCGTGAGCTAGGCCTGAACTGTAAGTGCTTCATGTGCACTGAGCCCTCGTCCCAACTCATGAAGCAGGCGCTGTGCTCCCATTTGATAGGGGAGGAGACTGAGGCACAGGGCGCTCATGCCTCTTGCCCACAGTCACCTGACTGGTGGGTGCTGGAGCTGGTCTGCTGCAGAGCCCTGGCTCTCACGTCCCATGCCACCCTGTTCCCAGCTCCTGAGTGCTACCGTCAGCTGGGCCAGATGGTGGGTGGCTGCTCAGGCTGTCTGGGCACAGCGGAAGGCTCCAGGGGGGCCGGGGGAGGGGCCATGACGCAGTGGGCTCACCGGTGGCAGGGACTGCACGATGTCACTGTGGTAGATGTAGCCGGTGTGGGGCAGCACTGAGGTAGACGAGAAGCCCGACAGCGTCTTGCGCTGGGCCCCGAGCAGCATGATGTTGCAGGCGGGCATCTTGGAGAGGTTGGTCAGGCCGCCGGCCACACCTGCGGTGGGAGGGAGGGAGGAAGGGGGGGCGGTCAGAAGAAAGCAGAGAGGTGGGGGTGAGTAAATCTGCCTGGGGGCTCGACGTGTGCTGGGCACCTTTACATGAAGTTCTGGTTGGATTCCTCGATGGCCCTGCCAGGCGGGCGACCTGGCCCATTCCGCAAGGGGCAGATGCAAAGGAGGCTCAGAGAGGGAGGGCAGCTGGCCTGGGGGTGCAGGGAGGAGGCCCCCAACAGGAAGCTGACCACCACGTTTGTGCTAAGCCACACTAACGCCGTTCCAGGGATGGCTGTGTTTTGGAACCATTTTCACCAAACCAGGAGCTCCCTGACAACAGGGCCTGGGTGTGGTCATCTCTGGGTTTCCGGCACAGGGGAGGGAGAAGGAGCTGTGGGTGAGTGTTTTTCCCACAGACGAGGCTTTGCTGTGTGCCAGGCTGGCTGACCTCTGTGATGTCCAGGGAGACGGGGTGCTGAGGTCCAGGTGCCAAAGCCCCCATTCTACAGAAAAGGATGTAGCTTTCCCAAGGTCACAGTGTCAGCAGACCCCCGCTCCATGGGACCCAGCCCGGGGACTCACCCATGATCTTGGCGGCCGTGGATGCCCCGATAATGATGGACAGGTTGGGTGCGATGAAGGACATCCGGGACTCCACATACTCGTAGATGCGGTGCTTGGAGGCGTTCAGCTCCAGCGCCATGTCGCAGGCCTCCTCCAGCCGCTCCAGCTCCTCCTCCGACAGCTGCTGCCTGCAGGGGCGGGTGGGCCCAGCCTCCTGGATCTCCCGCCTGCCTGGTGTGCCCAGCCCCAGCCCTCTCGGTTCTGTGTGTGTGTGTGCATGTGTGTATGTGTGTGTGCGTGTGTACACCTGCGTGTGTAGCTCCAGCCTAATCCCCAATCCCATTAGGGCCCGGCGCCTCCCTCGAAGCGGACATACCCCTGGGTGGTGGAGGCGGTGACGCTGACGACCATGATGGTGGCATTGGTGAGGATCTGCTGCAGGTTCTCATTGTTCTTGCACTTGTCCAGGCTGTTGCCCAGCTCCTGGGGGCGAGCAGAGAAGATAGGGGAGGCTCGGGAACTCAGGAAGGCTCGAGAACCTCTCTTGCTCAGCACCTCCTCAGGTCTCTTCTTAGGGACACTGGGACAGTCAGGGTCTCTGCACTGGGGGCCTCTCCTGCCTCCACCGCCTGAAGCATCCACACCATTCCTGCCTCCACCACGTCAAGCATCCACACCATCTGCCCTGCTTTCGCTGACCTGGAAACGGAGCCCGGGCAGAGTGGCGTCTGGAAAGACTGTGGCCTCACAAGCCTCTGGCCTGCGTCAAGTCGGAGTGCAAATCCGCGGCCTCGCTTCCCTGCAGGGGCTTCCCCACCGCCATCCTAATCCTTTCCTGGACATGCGTGGGGACCTCCTCCTCTCCCCGCCCTCACGCACACCTGCCCCTCTTTTCCGAAACCCTTCCTTGGCTTTCTCCTAAGACCCAAAGGCTGGACGTGATCCGACCTCTTCCCCGTCCCCTCCTTCCCCGCCTCACTTCCTCCCCACTTGTTCCCTCTCCAGCTCTCTGCACTTAGACGTCTCTCTGCCCCAAATCTCCGTGTGCCTGCCCTGTGTCAACCTTCGGATGTCAACTCCAATGCCACCGGCTCCAACCACAGCGGGAGCAGCGTGGGTCAGGCCAGCGGGGAAGCCCTCTCGGGAGACTGGGGTTGGAGGGGAGCCCTGAGAAAGTCCTGTCCAGGCTCCGTCCCTCCCACGCTGGGCAGAGCAGACCACTGAGCCCTCGTCCACTCCTCTCCATCGTCTCCAGACCCTGAGGCCTCTGGGAGGGGGTCCGAGAGTGAGCCCCGCCTGCCCCTTCACGCCAGCAGAAGCACCCCACCTTCTCTGCGCTCACCTTGACCGTGCGGATGTAATCCAGTGCATTGGGGACCAAGGACTCCAGTTCAGGGAATCTCTTTGAGTACTTATCCCGGATGAACTTATGGATGATGTCTAGGGTAAACGGGACAGGAGGTTGTCGGGTGAGATGGAAGGTAGACTCTGCTGGTTGGCCCTAACACCCATGTCCCCTTCTTCCTTTAGTAACTGAAGCCCTGGCTTGTGGCCTGGCACACGGGCACCAGCATACAGCCTTTCTCAGCCGTCCTTACCGCTAGGTGTGACCAGGGGAATTAGTTCTGGTCTGTAAAACGTGAGCTGCAGTGACATGTTCTTAAAGAAAAGAAGCGCCTTGCTGGTGGGAATGCGGAGGTGATGGCTGGAGGTGGGGCAGTCACCTCGCACCGTGAGGCAGGTGGCCGACCAACAGGATGGAAAGAGCCGGGGCCCTACAGGCAGCCAAGCGGCCACACCATCCCCGAGTGCTCCTCAGACTCATACGCGAGAGAACGCACTTCCTTCTTATTTCAGCCACTCTGTGACAGCAGGTCAACCTCGATCTGAGCTTGGGCTTAGGGGCAGGACCCTGGGAAAGGCCAGTGGGGAAGGGAGAGGGGGCGTGAGGGACGTCACACGGGGCTGTCTCCGCCTGCCCCCCAGCACTCACTCAGCTCGTTTTCGATCTCCACGGTCAGGTTGTTGGCATCCACGATGACGCGGTATTCAGGCGCGGCCTCCACTGGTCCCATCACTGTGAGGACACGGAGGCATGGGTGTGAGTATCTAAATCCCTACCCCCTCTCGGGTCCCGCAGCTGGAGGAGGCGGAGGATGAAGTTGGGAGGGGTCAGGAAGGAGGGGCTGAAGAGTAAACCAGGGACAGGCTGATGTCTGCAGACATCCCTGAACTTGTGTTCCTGCCTTCAATCCCTCTCCCTCCACACCAGTCTAGACTTGACCCCATCTACCCCAGAACTGACCGTGTGAAACCTCCTACGGCTCCCCACAGCCCCAAGGCTAATGACCGAGTCCTCAGACTGACATTCAGGGCCTCCCCAACTCCGGAAGCTCTGCAGGGACCAGTGCTGTGCCTGCGTTGGCTGTACCCACAGCCGAGTACCCAGGACAGCACCTGGCACACAGGGAGTTCCCCCGTTCCTGTTTGCTGACTCAGCAGCTCTGCAGTCTGGCCTCCCGCCCTTCCCGCCCCATCCTCTCACCACACCTCATTTTATTCCACTCCAGCCATAAAGGAGTGATCACAGTGCCCCAGACACCCACTCCTCCTAGCCTTTTTTTTTTTTTTTGAGACATAATTTCGCTCTGGTTGCCCAGGCTAGAGTATAGTGGCATGATCTCAGCTCACTGCAACCTCCGCCTCCTGGGTTCAAGCGATTCTCCTGCCTCAGCCTCCTGAGTAGCTGGGATTACAGGCATGTGCCACCACGCCCGGCTAATTTTTTTTGTTTGTTTGTATTTTTAGTAGAGACGGGGTTTCACCATGTTGGGCAGGCTGGTCTCGAACTCCCGACCTCAGGTGATCCATCTGCCTTGACCACCCAAAGTGCTGGGATGACAGGCGTGAGCCACCGCGCCAGACCCCTCCTGGCCTCTGCATGTGCTGCTCCCTCTCCCCAGAGCATCCCTTACCCCACGTCTGTTTCTGGAAAACGCTTCTTTGTGCTTTAGTAATAAGAGGTCAGGCACAGTGGCTCATACCTGTAATCCCAGCACTTTGGGAGGCTGAGGCAGGAGAACTGCTTGAGCCCAGGAGTTGGAGAGCAACCTGGGCGACATAGGGAGACCCCATCTCTACACATAATTAAAGAAAAAAAATTAGCCAGGCATGGTGGTGTACACCTGTGGTCCCAGCTGCCTGGGAGGCTGAGGCAGGAACGCCTGAGCCCACAAGGTCAAGGCTGCAGTGAGCTGGGATCGTGCCACTGCATTCTGGCCTGGGTGACAGAGTGAGACCCTGTCTCAAAAAACAAACAAACAAAAAGATGTTGTGTTTAAAAGTCATGCAAATACTAACTGCCTGATGTCACAGCCAGTAGAAGGCAGAGCTCAGATCTGACACCAGGCAGGGCGGCGTCAGAGTCTGCACTCCTAACCCTGATGCTCAAATGGCTCTTTAAGTCCTTAAGACTCAGGCAGCGACTCAGAATCCTTCCCTCCCTTTCTGGAAGGATCAGACGCCTCCTCTGTGTACCCGCAGCACTTGTGCACCTCCAGTAAACAGGGACTGCCACAGCTTGTGAGATGTTTCACCTCTGCCTCCTCAACCAGACACCGGGTGTGACGGGGTCTGACTCCATCCCTGAGCCTGGCCTGACATCAGGAAATGTCACTTTCTGTGTCCCATAACCCTCTGGAGGGAGAAATTCCTTGGCCTGGCATCTGGAACTCTGCAGGATTCTCTCTCCGGATATCTGAGGCCCCGGGCCTGCCGCTGTCTTTCCCTGGGCCCCCTTCTCCCTTTCTTTGCCTGGCACATGCATTCATGCTCTACAGTCCAATTCAGCTATCGATTCTTCCTGACACCTGGGGCAGGGTCAGCCAGTCCCTCCTGTGGCTCCGGTGTCCCCAGCTTGGTACCACCACTGATAGCTGTCTGGAACCTGGCCTGCCTCTTCCACTAGACCTTGAGTACTTTGAGAGCAAAGACCTGGGCGATTCAACTGGGTGCCCAGGTAAACGTTAAAGAAAGCAAGCAGTGAGTCTCCCGAAACTCTGCCCTCTCACTACACTTCTTTCCCCAGAAACCTCCTATGGCTTCCTGTCATCAACAAATTCCATTCAAGAAGAATGGGAAGGCTGGGCGTAGTGGCTCATGCCTGTAATCCCAGCACTTTGGGAGGCCGAGGTGGGCGGATTACTTGAGGTCAGGAGTTCGAGACTAGCCTGGTCAACATGGTGAAACCCCATCTCTACTAAAAAATACAAAATAGCCAGGCATGGTGTTGCATACCTGTAATCCCAGCTATACATAAGGCTGAGGGAGGAGAATCGCTTGAACCCGGGAGGTGGAGGTTGCAATGAGCCAAGAACACATCACTGCACTCCAGCCTGGGCGACAGAGGGAGACTCTATCTCAAGGAAAAAAAAAAAAGAATAGGAATGGTAACAGGACTGCCCTCTTAAGAGTGAGTCTGAGCACTCATGAGATAAGCTAGTGTTCTCTCAATTTGGGCATGAGAAAAGGTTTTAGGTTATTTTTTTTTTTTTTGAGACGGAGTCTTGCTCTGTCGCCCAGGCTGGAGTGCAGTGGCACGATCTCGGCTCACTGCAAGCTCCGCCTCCCAGGTTCACGCCATTCTCCCGCCTCAGCCTCCTGAGTAGCTGGGACTACAGGCACCCGCCACCACGCCTGGCTAATTTTTTGTATTTTTAGTAGAGACGGGGTGTCACCGTGTTAGCCAGGATGGTCTCGATCTCCTGAACTCATGATCCACCTGCCTCCGCCTCCCAAAGTGCTGGGATTACAGGCGTGAGCCACGGCGCCCGGCCTTAGGTGGTTCCTAAATAATTATATATCTATTTTTATACAGTGACTTTGTCTTTGCCAAATGATACCAGTTTTCCATTCATGGTAGCAATTTGCTTCCTTCTCAGATAAATTTAAGAAAAAAAGTCCTAGACTCAAAGAATATGTTAAGCAAATAATAGGATAAGCGGCTTATAGATGTGGCAAAAACCCTGTAACCGGTCATGTGAATCAGTGAAGTCTGGGAAACCTCAAGCTGAGTCCTATCATGATCAGTAAGCTCAGCACACAGGAAGGACTTAAGAAGCATGAGCTTTACAATGCAATATATATTTAGTGGAAAAGGGAACGGGTTGGGGTGAAACAAAAAAAAAAGAAGGCTCTGGAAAAGGCTGAGAAGGAGATATACCCAGCCACAAGCAGCCAGGGAGCCAGGGGGCCTGGCAGGAGAGACAGGAGATGGGGAGGGGCACAGAGTGGGAGGAAGCACCTTCTGAAGCTTTGGCTTGCTTGCTGATATACTCCTCAATCTTCATCATAATCTCAGCAAACTGTAGGAAAGGAGAAGACAGTCAGAATCCAGCACTCTTCAAAAAGAAGCCTGTATCACCCCCTTCTGGGAGATTCTGTCTAGAGCCCCCTGCTAGGAACACCTCTTGTCCTCTTACCATCTTACTATCCCATAGCTTGGCGATGGTCTTGACTGAATCCCCGGAAAGATCCAGCTGTGTCTCCTCCTGCACATCCTCGATCGCTGGCTCCTCTTCTTCCTCCCCATAGCTTCCTCCTTCCTCCTCTTCTGCTGCCTCTTCGAGATCAGCTAAGAGCTCATCTGCCAGAGACATCCCGAGGCCTGGGGAGGGACAGCAGCGTTCCCTAAAAACTTGCCCCGACAAAGTCCCTCCTTATTACTGAGCGATGATTCTCCCCCAGAAGACCCTGGTCCTTCTTTATCAACCCCACTAGCATGCAGGCTCCACGACAACAGGTGCTTTAGTTTGTTTTGTTCACTGGCGAGTCTCCAGCTCCGACCTGTGCAAGACGCAGCACACCCCTATGACCGCCACCTTGCTAAGACTTACTGGAACCAAGTGGTGTAGATTCCAAATGCATTTGCAAACTTTCTTATTCCTTTCTTGCCTTTAGCCTTGAAAACATACTTTGAAATTCTTTGTTTCCCTCCTTTCCCACTAGATACTGTCTTGCACTGCTGGCTTATCTATGTGCTTACTTAGAAGTTCCAGGGGCTAATCTTTATTTATTTATTTTTTAAAGATGGAGTCTGGCTCTGACACCCAGGTTGGAGTGCAGTGGCGCAGTCTTGGCTCACTTGCAACCTCCACCTCCTGGGTTCAAGCGATTCTCCTGCCTCAGCCTCCTGAGTAGCTGGGACTACAGGCACCTGCCACCATGCCCAGCTAATTTTTTTTTTTTTTTTTTGTAGAGTCAAGGTTTCACTATGTAAGCCAGGCTGGTCTTGAACTCTTGACCTCAAGTGAGCGACCCACCTTGGCCTCCCAAACTGTTGGGATTACAGGCGTAAGCCACCGCGCCTCGCCGCAGGGGCTAATCTTGAAACAAACTAGGTATGGAAACCCAGCTGCAAAACTCCAGAGATCACCTCAAGGCGATCAATCTACAACGTGGCCATTGTTGACTTGACACCAGCCCATGCTCCAGGTGGCCCGTGACTCAAGACAGCCTTCGGAGCAAGACACACATACCTTGTACCCAGCACCACTCCTGTATGCCTCCCATTCAAAGTTCCCCTTTTTAAGCCCCTCTCCCCAGCCTAAAGCTTGAAATGGTCTTCTAAAGACATTAGCTTGGCCATTTCTCATCTGCGAGCATTTGATCAGTAAAGCTGCTTTACTTTCACCACCCCCCACTTCCTCTGCCTCTGAGTAGCAGAAACTTGAGTTGGTTACATTATCGGTCTCTTCCCGCCTCCAGGTCTTTGTACAGGAGTCCCTTGTAACTAAAGTGGCCCTTTCCTTCACTTTGTTTTTTCTTTTCTTTTCTTTTTTTTGAGACCATGTCTTGCTCTGTCACCTAGGCTGCAGTGCAGTGGCGCCATCATAGCTCACGGCAGCCTCGATCACCTGGGCTCAAGCGATTCTCCCGCCTCAGCCTCCCGATAGCTGAGATGACAGGCACGCACCAGCACGCCCGGCTAATTTTTAAATTTTTCTGTAGAGACAGGGTCTCACTGTGTTGCTCAGGCTGGTCTCAAACTCCTGGGCTCAAGCGATCCTTTCGCCTGGGCCACCCAAAGTGCTGGGATTACAGGAGTGAGCCATGGCGTCTGGCTCTCCTCACTTCTTAGTAGCCCAGCATCTCCTCAGCCTTCAGCTCTCACGTTCCACCTCCCTGACCCACACGCCCCACTCTAGACTACAGGAGGTTGCTTTGTGATAACGTGTCCCGCACGCTCTGCGTGTCTACAGTAAGGCACTTCACACATTTGTGATTAATGAAGTAATTATTTGATAAAGCCTGTCTGCCAGGCATCAACCAAAGCTCTAAGAGGGTAGCGAACAATTTTTGCTCCTTCCACATCCCCAGGGCCACACCATGGTAGGCGCATATTAAGACTTTTGGGTAAACAGGCTGTAAAAGGCCGGGAGCGGTGGCTCATGCCTGTAATCCCAGCACTTTGGGAGGCCCAGGCGGGTGGATCATCTGAGGTCAGGAGTTGGAGACCAGCCTGGCCAACATAGTGAAACCCCGTCTCTACTAAAAATACAAAAAACTAGCCGGGCGTGGTGGTGCGCGCCTGTAATCCCAGCTACTCGGGAGGCTGAGGCAGGAGAATCGCTTGAATCCGGGAGGCGGAGGTTGCAGTGAACCGAGATCGCGCCACTGCACTCCAGCCTGGGCAACAAGAGCGAAACTCCGTCTCAGACAAAACAAACAAACAACTGGCCAGGCGCGGTGGATCATGCCTGTAATCACAGCACTTTGGGAGGCCGAGGCGGGCGGATCACGAGATCAGGAGTTCGAGACCAGCCTGACCAACATGGGGAAACCCCGTCTCTACTAAAAATACAAAAATTAGTCAGGGGTGGTGGCGGGCGCCTGTAATCCCAGCTACTCTGGAGGCTGAGGCAGAAGAATCGTTTGAACCCGGGAGACGGAGGTTGCAATGAGCCGAGATCGCGCCACTGCTCTCCAACCTGGGCAACAGAACGAGACTCCGTCTCAAAACAAACAAACAACAAAAAAACAAAAACCAAGCTGTAAAGACCCGCCTTTTTCCTCACACACTTCTTCTCCCAGACCCAGGAGCCCAGCCTCCCGCTCCCCGTGGTCTCCATCACACTCACCTCTCCTCTCCGCGCACCACTGTTTCTAGCGTTAGTCGCTCACCGATGACGTCTCACTCTCGCGCCGTTATAGAGGCAAAGCTACTCTCTGATTGGTCCCCGCTCGCGATGTTCCTGGCCGCATTTGAAACAACAACTTTATTAGCACCTGGCACTAGGCGGAGAGAGGCGGTAAGCCGCGAGGAGGAAAGGGACTCACGTCCCGCTGTGGACCGATCCTGCTAAGCAGAGAATCGCTGTGGCCGGACGACGGGGCGTCGAGACAAGAAGAAAGACGTTGGCAACTCAGAGGACTGGTTGCGGCGTTAGACAAGAAAGCAAGGCCTTTAAGCAGGGATTCGGGGTGGACGTGGGGGTGGGCCGAAGCGAAGCCGGAAACAGGAAACTACAACTCCCACAAGGCCTAGGGCCACGTCCCGCCGTCCTCGGCTGCTGAGCCTGATGGGACAAGTAGTTTTGCGAACGGCTTAACCTACAGATTGAAGAGGTCGGAAGCTCTGAGGCCCGGGGCTTCCGGAGGTCGCGGAGATGGAATTGGAGCAGAGAGAAGGGTATGTGGCTGAGCCCTTGTGAAAAAGTGCGAATCCCAGAAAACAGTGCAGCTGCATTGTGTGCAACCATATGAGCTTTTACGCTGAGGTCTGATGGGGGTTGTAGTTCATGCAACTGCTTTACCTTAGAACCCTTTTATGGACTGGGGTCATCCTGAGGGAGGAGAAGGTTAGGGGTTTGGACTGCTGGATCTGACAGACTAGGAGGTTGGAAGCCAGGACTCTTGCGTCTGGTTGAGGGTTGGGGCTTGGACTCCCTGGGTCCTTGGAGAGAAAAAGTCTGGAGGTCTGGACTCTTGCATCCTGGGAGGAGGGGGTCAGGGCTTGAACCCTGTGGGTGCTGCGAAGGGTGGGTTGCGGACTTGGACTTCTGGGTCTGAGGGAGGAGGGCTGGGAGCTGGATTCTACGGTCTGAGGGAGGAGGGGCTGGGGGCCTGGATTCTAGGATCTCAGGGAGGAGGGGTTGGGGTCTGGGCTCCTGGTTCAGTGGGAGAAGGGGCTGGGGGTCCAGGATCCAGGGCCCCTGAGCCTTTCCCTGCCTCTCAGGACCATGGCAGCCGTGGGCTTTGAGGAGTTCTCAGCGCCGCCAGGCTCAGAGTTGGCGTTGCCTCCCCTATTTGGTGGCCACATCCTGGAGAGCGAGCTGGAGACGGAAGTGGAGTTTGTGTCAGGTGGTCTGGGCGGCTCAGGGCTCCGGGAGCGAGATGAAGAGGAAGAGGCAGCCCGGGGTCGGCGGCGGCGCCAGCGGGAATTAAATCGCAGAAAGTACCAGGCACTAGGTCGGCGCTGCCGGGAGATCGAGCAGGTAGGTGAGTGCGGATCCCCCGGTTTTGGGGTCCCCTGGCCTAAACTACCGCCCCCCGCAATCTCTGCCTTTCCACATGCCCAGCCTTTCTTGGCTTGCTGATATATTCAGTCATTTAGCTTATATATTCAGTCATTTAGCATGCATTATGTGTCTGGCCCTGTGCCGGGCCCCTGGAAGGGCCATCTCCCGTGGAGCTTCCCTGACAACGCAGATGGGTTCTCTGATGTCTCCCGGGGGCCTCTCAATGCGTGGCACCGCTCACAGGTGAAAGCCCAAGCTCTTCACATCTCCCATACCCCTGCCAGGATTCACTCCTCTCGACTCATTCATTCCGCCTCTTGAGTGTCTCTGGACCCTTCTCCTCTCCTCCATCCCTATGGCTGCCATTGCAAACTCCAGCTGTCTGGGCTGAATGACTGCAATAGCCTCCTTGCTGAGAATAAGGATGGGCTGGGCATGGTGGCTCACGCTTGTAATCCTAGCACTGGGAGGCTGAGGCAGGCGGATCACCTGAGGTTAGGAGTTCGAGACCAGCCTGGCCAACATGGTGAAACCCCATCTCTACTAAAATACAAAAAAATTAGCCAGGTGTGGTGGTGCGCACCTGTAGTCGCAGCTACTAGGGAGGCTGAGGCATGAGAATTGCTTGAACCCGGAAGGCGGAGGTTGCAGTGAGCCAAGATCATGCTGCTGTACTCCAGCCTGGGTGACAGAGTGAGACTCCGTCTCAAAATCAATCAATCAATCAATGAGGATTAAACAGCAGGCAGGGCTCAGATCTTGGCAGGCCAGGAACACCAGGACAAGAAGTCTGGATATTTTTTTTTCCTTGAGAGTGAAGGAGCCACTGAAGGGTTTCAAATGGGGGAGGAACAGCATCAGGTCTGGATGCCTGAAACTCTGAAGACAGTTGTATTAGTCTGCTTGGACTCCCAGAACTTATCACAAATAGGGTCCCTCAAGCACAGAAATTCCTGTCTGACAGTTCTGGAGGCTAGACATCCAAGGCAAGGTGTCGACAGGGTTGTGAGAATCTTCCAGGCCTCTCCCCTGGCTTCTGGAGGTTTCTGGCAGTCATTGGCACGTACAAACATCACCCTGATCTCCGCCTTCATCTTCACATTGCTGCTCCCTGTGTGTGTGTCTGTGTCCCAATTTACCCTTTTTATAAGGACTCCAGTCATACTGGATTAGGGCCCACCCACTGGCTTCATTTGAACTTGATTACTTTTGTAACGACACTGTCTCCATATAAGGTGATCCTGAGGTACTGGGGGTTAAAGCCTCAACACCCTCTTTTGGGGGAAATAATTCAACTTTTTTTTTTTTTTTTTTTTTTTTTTTGAGGTGGAGTCTCGCTCTTGTCTCCCAGGCTGGAGTGCAATGGCACCATCTCAGCTCACTGTAACCTCCACCTCCTGGGTTCAAGTGATTCTCCTGACTCAGCCTCCCTAGTAGCTGGGATTACAGGCGCCCGCCACCACACCCAGCTAATTTTTCTATTTTTAGTAGAGACAGGGTTTCACCATGTTGGTCAGGCTGGTCTCAAACTCCTGACCTCAGGTGATCTGCCCACCTCAGCCTCCCAAGGTGCTGGGATTACAGGCTTGAGCCACCACGCCTGGCCTTCAACTCTTTTTCTCTTTCTTGAGACAGGTTCTCACTTTGTCACCAAAGCTGGAGTGCAGTGGCGCAATCTCAGCTCATTGCAGCCTCAGTCTCCCAGGTTCAAGCAGTCCTCCTGCCTCAGCCCCCAAAATAGCTGGGACTACAGGCACACACCACCACACCTGGCTAATTTTTGTACTTTTTGTAGAGATGGGGTTTTGCCATGTTGCCCAGGCTGGTCTTGAACTCCTGACCTCAAGTGATCCACTCGCCTTGACCTCCCAAAATGCTAGGATTACAGGCATGAGCCACCACATCTGGCCTCAATTCTTAATGACAGTATTGGGGAGTTCTGTAAGGAGGAAGGCTAGAGGCCAGGGGCATATTCCAAACCCTGTTTAACAGACAGACACCAAGGCCCAAACGGACTCAACTGGAGCCTCTGCCATTAATCCACCCCCAGGAATAGATTACTACTATTTTACAAGTATAGAAAATCAAGGCTCAGAGAGGTTAAGTAATGCACCCAAGCTCAGAGCTCAGCAGTGGCAGATCTGAGATTTTTTTTTTTTTTTGAGACAGGGTCTTTCTCTGTTGCCCAGGCTGGAGTGCAGTGGCATGACTGTGGCTCACTGCAGCCCCAACATCCTGGACTCTAGCAATCTCAGCCTCCGAAGGAGCTGGGACTACAGCCACCAAGCCCAGCTAATTTTTTTGGTTAGTTTTTGAGTGTTGGGGTCTCACTCTGTTGCCCAGGCTGGTGTCGAACTCCTGGCCTCTCAAAGTGCTGGGATTATAGGCATGAGCCACTGTGCCAAGCCAGAGCCAAAACTTGAACTCTTTTTTTTTAGATGGATTTTCGCTCTTGTTGTCCAGGCTGGAGTGCAATGCTGCAATCTCAGCTCACTGCAACCTCCGCCTCCTGGGTTCAAGCGATTCTCCTGCCTCAGCCTCCCGAGTAGCTGGGATTACAGGCATGCGCCACTACACCTGGCTAATTTTGTATTTTTAGTAGAGACAGGGTTTCACCACGTTAGGCTGGTCTCAAACTCCTGACCTCAGGTGATCCGCTCGCCTTGGCCTCTGAAAGTGCTGGGATTACAAGCGTGAGCCACCGTGCCTGGCACTTTTTTTTTTTTTTTTCTTTTGAGACAGAGTCTTACTCTGTCACCCAGGCTGGAGGGCAGTGGTGTGATCTCGGCTCACTGCAACCTCCAGCTCCTGGGTTCAAGCGATTCTCCTGCCTCAGCCTCCTGAGAAACTGGGATTACAGGCATGCGCCACCATACCCAGCTAATTTTTGTATTTTTCTTTTTTTTTTTTTTTTTTTAGTAGAGATGAGGTCTCATCATGTTGGCCGGGCTGGTCTGGAACTCCCGACCTCAAACTCTTGAGTAGCTGAGATTACAGGCATGTGCCACAACATCCGGCCAATTTTTGTATCTTTAGTAGAGACGGGGTTTCACCATGTTGGCCAGGCTGGTCTTGAACTCCTGACCTCAAGTGATCTGCCCGCCCCGGCCTCCCAAAGTGCTGGGATTACAGGCGTGAGCCACTGTGCCCCGCCCGGAACTCAGGTCTTTCTGACCCAGGAGCAGCACCTGCTTCAGCCACTGTCTTTGGGTCCCTGTTTGGCTGAGTCACATCTCTCCCTCCATGTCTAGGCTGGAGTCCTCAGAAGCTGCGTGCAGGGCTGTCCCCTCAGCCTGGCATACTTTCCTCCTGTCACCCCTTTGTCTCCTCCTTATTCAAGTCTGGGCCCACGGGCCTTCTCTGCAGGTCGTAACTAAAGTCGCACCTCCTGCCCTAACCTCCAGCATGTCTGACTCTTTGGTATTCACCAAGCACTTCTCACTTTGCAAAGTCATTGATTCTGCAAATGTTCATGGAGGATGTACTACGTGCCAGGCTCTGGTTAAGGCACGGGATGTAGAAACAAGTTGCTGTCGTTTTTCAGCTCATGCTCTGGCTGGAGAGGCGGTCAGTCAGCAGAATAAGCAAAGAGGCGGAGAGGCTGCGTCCTGCCTCCTCAGATGAGCACTAGGAGGAAATAAAGCCAGGAGTGAATGGCCGGGTGGGGTTCTGGCATGGGAAGGGGGGTCGGGTGTGTTGCAATTTTTTTTTTTGAAACAGAACCTCGCTCTGTTGCCCAGGCTGGAGTGCAGTGGGGTGATCTCAACTCACTTCACCCCTCCACCTCCCAGGTTCGTGCGACTATCCTGCAGGCACCTGCCACCACGCCCAGCTAATTTTTTGTATTTTTAGTAGAGATGGGGTTTCATCATGTTGGCCAGGCTGGTCTCGAACTCCTGACCTCAGGGGACCTACTCGCCTCGGCCTCCCAAAGTGCTGGGATTACAGGCGTGAGCCACCGCACCTGGCCTGGTGTGTTTCGACTTAATGGGAGGTTCAGGCTCTCTGAGCAGGTAACAGTTGACCTAAGACTTGGAGTGGGGAGTAAGTTGTGCGGATGACTGGGGAGAGGGTCCAGGTAGAGGAACAGCACGCGGAAGGCCCCCACTGGAGGGCACTCAGGACTGTGGCATGGTGAGAGGGGAGCCGGAGGGATGGGAAGGTGGAAGGACCTCAGGCCACGGGATGGTCTTTGGCCAGTCTCCAGAGTTTAGTGCGTGCCCCATTAAACATCCGTTAAACAAATGAACGGGAGCCGTGGGATCCAGCTGATGGGCGTTTCCCACCCCATAGGTGAACGAGCGGGTCCTGAACAGGCTCCATCAGGTGCAGAGGATAACTCGGAGGCTGCAGCAGGAACGGAGGTAACCCCTTCTCCGTCCCCTCTGGGCCTGTGAGCCTCAGCTCCCAAATGCTCCCAGCCCCTCTGTCTCTCCCACTTCCACATCCACCCAACCCTCACAAGCCACAAGGAGAAGCCGGAGATGAGGGCCGGGGGCTGAGGCAAACAAGGAGGAAGAGTGGGATTCGGTGTTGGAGGAGAGGGCTGAGCACTGGGACTGAGGGAGGGCCGGGTGGAGAGGGCTGAGCACTGGGACTGAGGGAGGGCCGGGTGGAAGGGGCTGTGCGCTGGGACTGAGGGAGGGCCGGGTGGAGAGGGCTGAGCACTGGGACTGAGGGAGGGCCGGGTGGAGGGCCTCCTCCCCCTGAAGGGAGGGAACAGCAGGATGGAAGGCACACGAGCACAGACCTGACTGCAAGTATTTTCTTTTTTTTTTGCTGTGTGACTCTAAGCAAGCAGTGTCCCTTCTCTGAGCTGTTTCCTATCAACTAAGGGCAGCACCAATATCATGAGGCTGCGGCAGGGTTGTCGGAGCTTGCAGGTGGTGAGCTGAGCTCAGAGCTTCCCACTGTGTGTCTCCACAGAACCTGCCCAGGTGGCTGCTGCCCCTGCCACTCGCAGTGTCCCTGTACCAGCAAAACTGGAGCAAGTTTTGTAGGAATGGCTCCACGTTGCTGAGTCAACCACAGTTCTCATCTCAGTCCTTGGCTCAGGCTCGGCACAGTGGCCCAGGGCTATGTGCTCTTCCCTGGAGCCCATTCTTGCCATCCTGGGCACCCAGCAACCTGGGGTCTCCTGCCTTTCCGGCTGTTCCTTCTTGGCTGCCTTTGCTAGTTCATCCTCCCTCCCCAAAGCTGAAACCTGCGGCTCCCAGGGTTCCTCTGTCCGTACCTGTGCTGTCCAGCACGGTAGCCGCTGGCCACAGGTGAGATTTTCACTTAAGTTGAAATAGGCCGGGCGCAGTGGCTCATCATGCCTGTAATCCCAGCACTTTGGGAGGCCGAGGCAGGCGGATCACGAGGTCAGGAGATCGGGACCATCCTGGCTAACACGGTGAAACTCCGTCTCTACTAAAAATACAAAAAAATTAGCCGGGTGTAGTGGCAGGCGCCTGTAGTCCCAGCTACTCGGGAGGCTGAGGCAGGAGAATCGCTGGTACCAGGGAGGTGGAGGTTGTGGTGAGCCAAATTCACGCCACTGCACTCCAGCCTGGGTGACAGAGTGAGATTCCGTCGCAAAACAACAACAACAAACCTGCCCAGGTGCTGGTGCAGAGGAGGCATTCCATCAATTGAACCTTAAGGAACTCTGGAGGCAGGGGCTGGGGAAAAAAGAGAAGGGGGTGTTTATAAGAGGTGAGGTCATTAGGAGGAGCGTTCTGTACTCCCCTCTCTTCAGTTATCAATAAAAATTATAACTCACATATGAATGTTTACTAAGTGCTGACATCACATTAAGTACAGAAATCGTCTGGTGTCACTACTTCAGTGTCACCGCTGCAACATCCAGCCGAGGGTGTCATGTCGTTTGCAGAGCAGGAAACTCAGCCTCAGAATGGTTGCCTTGTCTTGCTCGAGGTCTCAAGGCTGGTCAAGGGCATGGCTCCCAGGCCTCCAGTGCCAGAGCTCAGGACCGTCTGGCTCCAGGACAGCTTTGGCGTTGAGTGGAGTGGGAGCTGAGCTCTATCCTGTGGCCCTTTTCCCCAGCCGCTAGGAGATAAGTTATTCCGTTGGTGGCTTCTCCCCCTGAGCAGGTTCCTCATGAGAGTGCTGGACTCCTACGGGGATGACTACCGGGCCAGCCAGTTCACCATTGTGCTGGAGGTGAGTGTTGGGCCTCCAGGAGGGTCAGGAACTGGGAGCTCAGGACCCACCCATCACCTACCTCCCCCTCCTGCCTGCCAGGATGAGGGCAGCCAGGGCACGGATGCCCCCACCCCAGGCAATGCGGAGAATGAGCCTCCAGAGAAAGAGACACTGTCCCCGCCCAGAAGGACTCCTGCACCCCCAGAACCCGGCAGCCCAGCCCCCGGTGAGGGGCCCAGTGGGCGGAAGAGGCGGCGAGTGCCACGGGATGGACGCCGAGCAGGAAATGCGCTGACTCCAGAGCTGGCCCCGGTGCAGGTGAGGAAGGCGGGAACTCAAGGGGAGGGACTGGGGCTCCAGAGCCGGCGCCAGTGCAGGTAAGGAGGGGGGACTCAAGGGGAGGGGCCAGGGCTGGGGCTGAGTTAGGTTCAGGGCTCTTGGGTTTTGGTTCTGCACCCCGAGGGGCCCAGGGCTGGGGAAAGTTGGAGAAGGGAGGTGAACCAGGACATGTTGGAGGCCTAGGATCAGGCAGGGAAGTAGTTGGAAAAAGTGGGGTAAAGGCTTGGGTAAAAAGGAGGCAAAGTTGGAAAGGGAAAGAGGAAGACCTGGAGAAGGAAAAATAGCTAGAGAAGGCTGGGAGTAGAGGAGAAGGAAGGATCAGAGAAGACGGAGTGGAAGGGAAGGCCCAGTGTGGGGAGGAAAGCTGGAAGAACATCTGGACCCAGGAACACTGGGATTGCCTCTGAGGTGTAAGGAGGAAGGTGACTGGCCTGGGCAGACAAGAACTGTGAGGCTGGCCAGGTGCAGTGGCTCATGCCTGTAATCCCGGCACTTTGGGAGGCCTAGGTGGGAGGATCACTTGAGGCCAGGAGTCTGAGACCTGCCTGAGCAACATACTGAGACCCCATCTCTACCAAAAAGAAAAAACATGTTAGGCTTGGTTGGCAAGTGCCTGTAGTCCCAGCTACTTGGGAAGCTGAGGTGGGAGGATCACTTGAGCCTGGGAGGCAGAGGCTGCAGTGAACTATGATGGCACCACTGCACTCCAGCCTGGGCAACAGAGTGAGACCCTGTCTCTTTAAAAAGCAAAACAAAATGAAAACAAAAATGGTGAAGCTGATGGGATTTTCTAGATTCCCAGGCCTGTTAACACCTTGTTCCTTATCTCCTGCAGATTAAGGTTGAGGAAGACTTTGGCTTTGAAGCAGATGAGGCCCTGGATTCCAGTTGGGTTTCTCGGGGTCCAGACAAACTGCTGCCCTACCCGACCCTGGCCAGCCCAGCCTCTGACTGACGCATGCCCAATAAACTGACCCCACACTCACCCCGGCCACCGTCTACTTGTTCCCACCTCTGATCACACACATGCTCACGTTCGGGGGTTGGTTTTCACATTTTTATTGGGAGCCGTGGGAGGGGCCGCCTCTGTCAGTGGAGGTGCTCACAGTTTCTTCAGCCACTCCAGGCTGGGGCCCTGAGGGTCCTGGGGGTGGCTGGGCACGTCGGGCATGTTCCCATCATCACGGACGGGCACTGTGGGGCAGGAGGTGGGCCACTGAGACCAGCACGTCTCCAGGGCCCTGGAGAGAAGAGCTGGTCTGTCGCTTTATGTTCAGAGAGGGAAGGGGGACCCCAGGGGTGAGAGGGGAAGGGTCAGAGAATCAGTGATGCAGAAAGAGGCGGGAAATACAGAGACTGAGAGACACGGAAAACCAGAGAGATAGCGAGGGAGAGATCCCGCGCACTAGAGAGCTAGGGTCAAAAGAGATGGGGAAACAGGACAGAAACCTGAGAAGATGGAGACCAAGAAACCACCACAGATGGGAACCCAGAGAGAGACAGAAATCTGGAAAGGTAATAGAAACTCGAAGCACAGGCCAGGCGCGGTGGCTCACACCTGTAATCCCAGCACTTTGGGAGGCCGAGGTGAGTGGATCACAAGGTCAGGAGATCGAGACAATCCTGGCTAACACGGTGAAACCCCGCCTCTACTAAAAAAATACGAAAAAGTTTGCGTGTCGTGGTGGCGGGCACCTGTAGTCCCAGCTACTCGGGAGGCTGAGCTTGCAGTGAGCTGAGATCGCGCCACTGCACTCCAGCCTTGGCGACAGAGCGAGACTCTGTCTCAAAAAAACCCAAAAAAACAAAAACGAAGCACAAACACAGAATAGTATACGAATTATATCTCAATTCTTAAAAAATGGAACGGGGGGTCCGGGCACCACTGCAGAATCTCTGATAACTGCTTAGGAAAGACCTGCCCATAACTGCCCTTACGCCAGCACAGGGAGGCTGGGCCTATTCCGGGGATCCCTGCCTGGCCCCCACTCACCTGGGTAGTTGTAGGGCGTGGCCTTGTTGATCATGACGGAGTACTTGAAGTAGGGGCTCAATGGGGGCAGAATTACAGCTGTGGAGAGACACAGGGGTGAGGCCCAGGGGAAGGTGGCTCTGAAGAGAGGGGAAGAGAAGGTGAGCCTTGGCAAAGGGAAGATAAAGTGCGCAGGGGGAGGGCAGCAGGGAGGGCCAGCACGTCCAGGAGGATCCTTGGTACCTTGGGATCCCTACTTATAGACAGGAGGGTTTAAAACTCTTTTTTGGGGGGTTAAGTGGAGGTAGGGGTTGGAGCCTAACACTCACAGATACGTGGGGCCTGGAGGAGGCAGCAGTGGGGTTGGTCATGGAATGAGCACGTTTGAGTGTAGGGTCATCATGGAGCATCCTGGGGGTAGTGTCATGGGACTGTTCTGGAGAAATCAAGACTGTTACAAATTTGGCCGGGCACAGTGGCTCAAGCCTGTAATCCCAGCACTTTGGGCGGCCAATGTGGGCGGATCACCTGAGGTCAGGAGTTCGCGACCAGCCTGGACAACATGATGAAACCCCATCTCTACTAAAGATACGAAAATTAGCCGGGCGTGGTGGCAGGAGCCTGTAATCCCAGCTACTCAGGAGGCTGAGGCAGAAGAATCCCTTGAGCCTGGGAGGCAGAGGTTGCAGTGAGCCCAGATTGTGCCATTGCACTCCAGCCTGGGCAACAGAGAGAGACTCCATCACCAAAAAAAAAAAAAAAAAAAAGCCTTACAAACTGGAGGAGAAAGGGTTGCACAAACAACAGTCACTGACCACAGTCCATTTAGGGTGGGAGCCAGGAGTCCTGGGGGATGGGGTACAGTTCATAAAAGGAATGTTCTAGGCCAGTGCTGTCTGACAGATGGTAAGAGCCAGGTATATAATTTTATATCTTCTAGTAGCTACAGTAAAAATAAGAGATACAGATGAAACAAATTTTAAGAAACATACTTGGATGGGCGAGGTGGCTCATGCCTATAATCCCAGGACTTTAGGAGGCTGAGACGGGTGGATCACCTGAGGTCAGGAGTTCGAGACCAGCCTGACCAATATGATGAAACCCCGTCTCTACTGAAAATACAAAAACAGCCAGGTGTAGTGGCATGCGCCTGTAATCCCAGCTACTAAGGAGGCTGAGACAGGAGAATCGCTTGAACCCGGGAGGCGGAGGTTGCAGTGAGCCGAGATCAGGCCATTGCACTCTAGCCTGGACAAAAGCGAAACTCCGTCTCAAAAAAACAAAAACAAACAAACAAAAAAAACCATAGTACATCCAAAACATCACTTCGCCATGTAATCAACAAAAGATTATTGGTAGTTTACACACTCTGTTATACTAAGTTTTTGAAATCCAGTGTCTTATACCACCTCAATTCATACCAGCACCACTTCAAATGCTCAGTGGCCAGTTGTGGCTGGTGGCTGCCATACTGAATAAGTGTTCAGAACCTTAACCTAGTGCCTGGCTGGTGGACCAGCAGTACTGACAAGACCTGGGAACTCTTCAAAAATGCAGAATCCCATGCCCCACCCCAGACCTACAGAATCAGAACCTACAGTTTGGCCGGGCGCAGTGGCTCACCCCTGTAATCCCAGCACTTTGGGAAGGCAGATCACTTGCGGTCAGGAGTTCAAGACCAGCCTGGCCAACATGGTGAAACCTTGTCTCTACTAAAAATACAAAAATTAGCCGGGCGTGGTGGTGCTCGCCTGTAATCCCAGCTACTTGGGAGGCGGAGGCAGGAGAATCACTTGAACCCTAGAGGCGGAGGTTGCAGTGAGCCATGATCAAACCATTGCACTGTAGCCTGGAAGACAGAGCGAGACGCCATCTCAAAAAAAAAAAAAAAAAAAAGCTGGCCGGGCGCGGTGGCTCACGCCTGTAATCCCAGCACTTTGGGAGACCGAGTTGGGAGGATCACGAGGTTAGGAGATCGAGACCATCCTGGCTAACACGGTGAAACCCCGTCTCTATTGAACATACAAAAAATTAGCCGGGCATGGGGGCGGGCGCCTGTAGTCCCAGCTACTCGGGAGGCTGAGGCAGGAGAATGGCGTGAACCCGGAAGGCGGGGCTTGCACTGAACCGAGATCGCGCCACTGCACTCCAGCCTGGGCGACAGAGCGAGACTCAGTCTCAAAAACAAAAACAAAAAATTAGCTGGGCGCCTGTAATCCCAGCTACTCGGGAGGCTGAGGCAGGAGAATCCCTTGAACCCAGGAGGCCGAGGTTGCAGTGAGCCGGGATCGCGCCACTGCACTTCAGCCTGGGTGAGAGTGAGACTCCATCGCAAAAAAAAAAGCTACATTTTAACAATCCCCCGCCCCCATCCCTGCAGGAACTCCGGTGCTAATTAAAGTGTGAGTAGGGCAGTTCCAGGGCAGAGGGCAGAGATTTTCAATCAGCAAGGCACATTGGGATCATACGGGGATTTTCACAAGACACAGATTCCCCAGTCCCACCTCCACCCAAGCCAACTCAATTCAGAATGGGGGAGAGGAAAGATGAAAAGGAGGAGGAGGATCTGGACTTTTTTTTGGTGCTCAGGTGTTAAGGCATAAGCAGGGTTGAGAACGTCTCATTTAGAGGGGTTAAGAGCGTATTGGGTAGGTGGAGAGGAACGCGGGGGGCGATGGTGGAGAGGTTATAATGGGTATGGGGATAGATAAGGGGATGCCGTGGGGGTGCAGACACACTAGAGGGGACCCGAGGGCGGCGATAGGGCTTTAGGGGTACAAGATGGAGGGATGTAGGGGGACGGGGGTGGACGATGCAAGTTTGCGCCTGGAGCACTCACGCACCGAGGCCCCCGACGACGAAGGACACGACCAGCACTGGCTCCTTGTCCCAGGCATTCTTGAGGAAGGCGCCGACTCCTGAAGGGGTGGCAAGAAGCGTCACCCCTGCAAGTAGCTGCCCCCGGTGACCTCTAACCCTCTCGTGCCACCCCTGCCCTGGAGGAGCCCCCTCGTGACTTCTGCGTTCCCCTCCAGCACGGACCCCATCGCTTCCACCCCTGCCCTGCCGCACCTCAGTCCCAGGACCGCCCAGAGGTTCCCAGAACTACCCGAGCCCCGTGCGCCACCGGAACCTGCACTTACTCGCAGCCATCTTTGTCTCCGCGGCGGCGACAGCGGCGAGGACGCGGAGCACCCTGGGAGTTGTGGTCCCTATGCGCGAGAACCCGCTCCCAGGGCTGCGCGTGCGCCCTGGAGCACAAGTAGAGGCGAAAGCAAGGACGCGGAGCACTCTGGGAGTTGTGGTCCCTCTGTGCGACGGCCCGCTTTCGGAGCCTGCGCGTGCGCACTCGCGCAGAACAAAGATGGAGCCGTGGAGGTAAAGGAAGTGGTGTCAGGAGCAAGCGCAAGCCTGACTTTGCGGACCTGCGTGGAATCTCCTTAGTCTCAGCCTAGAAGTCGCTCCGGAGTGACTAGTCCTCCTGCTGCGACCCACCTAAGGCGGAACAAAATAGTCCCCATTTTATAGTTTATGTATGAAAGCCCATTTTACAGACGAAGAAACTGAGCCCGGGAGAAGGTGAATGACTAACCTGTCCTTCGAGGTCTCAGCTCAACATCGGCTCGTCCTGGAAGCGCTAGGTCTCATCCCAGATGGGTTAGGAGCTTTCTGCGGGCTCTCACAGTGCTCTGTTACCGCCATTATAGCTCAGATCACTTAAGAAACTGACCTGGTCTGGGCCGGGCGCGGTGGCTCACGCCTGTAATCCCAGCACTTTGGGAGGCCGAGGCGGGCGGATCACGAGGTCAGGAGATCTAGACCATCCTGGCTAACATGGTGAAACCCTGTCTCTACTTAAAAATACAACACAAATTAGCCGGGCGTGGTGGTGGGCGCCCGTAGTCCCAGCTACTGGGGAGGCTAAGGCAGGAGAATGGCGTGAACCCGGGAGGCGGAGCTTGCAGTGAGCCGAGATCACACCACTGCACTCCAGCCTGGGCGACAGAGCGAGACTCCGTCTCAAAAAAAAAGGAAACTGACCTGGTCTTGGTCTTTCAGTCGGACTGGTAGCTGCTGCTTGAGAGCAGTAACGGAGTCTGAGTTCCCTCTGTGCCTGCCAACATGGCACAGCGAGGGTCTGGCACGTAATAGGTTCTAATTTTTTTTTTTTTCTTCTGAGATTGAGTCTAGCTCTGTCGCCCAGGCTGGAGTGCAATGGCGCGATCTCGGCTCACAGCAACCTCCGACTCCCGAGTTCAAGCGATTCTCCTGCCTCAGCCTCCTGAATAGCTGGGATTACAGGCGCGCGCCTCCACAGCCGGCTAATTTTTCTTTTTTAGGAGAGACGGGGGTTTCTCCATGTTGGTCAGGCTGGTCTCGAACTTCCCGATCTCAGGTGATCCACCCGCCTTGGCCTCCCAAAGTGCTGGGATTACAGGCGTGAACAACCGCGCCCGGCCTAGAGGGGCTAATTTTTATCTATCTATCTATCTATCTATCTATCTATCTATCTATCTAACACAGTATCACACCAAGAGCCTGGCACATAATAGGTGCTAATTTTTCTCTGTCAACCAATCTATCAATCGATCAATTAATCACAGCAAGGGCCTGGCACATAATTGGTGTTAATTTTTATCTATCCATCAATCAATCACAGCAAGGGCCTGGCACTTAACAGGTGCTAATTTTTATCTATCTATCTATCTATCTATCTATCTATCCATCCATCCATCTATCTATCTTTCAATCACAGCAAGGGCCTGGCACATAATAGGTGCAAATTTTTATCTATCTGTCAATCAATGACAGCAAGAGTCTGGCACATAATAGGTTCTTATTTTTAAAACAGACAGATATCTTTCTATCTGTCTATCTATATTTAAAGACATGGTCTCACTCTATCACCCAGGCTGGAGTGCAGTGGCACAATTTATTTATTTTTTAGACAGGGTCTCGCTCTGTTGCCCAGGCTGCTCTTGAACTCTTGGGCTCAAGCGATCCTCCTGCCTCCACCTCCTGACTAGTATTTGTTTCTAGAGTTAAATAAATGAACACCACAGGTTATGACTGAACCCCCTGCTAATTTTTCCACAGTGCCATAGGGCTATGACACAGTCACCCACAGGCCCCCACCTCGATACTCTCTTCCGTAAATGAGGATCTGGGTCTGGTTTTCTGATGTTGCCTCATTTCCTGGGAGGGGAGAGGGTGCGACCAAGCCCTGGCTCCAGCTCTAGCGGGTATCTGCCCACCATGGCCCTGGTGCTGATCCTCCAGCTGCTGACCCTCTGTGAGTCACCCCTTTCTTCTCCCTGGGTTCCTGGCTGGGGTTGGGGGCAGAGAGAGAGGCAATGGAGACCCAGACACCCTGCAGGGGGACCAGGCAGCAGGTTTGGGATTCTAGGTTCAAATAAAGAACAGGGCTGGGGCCCAGACCCCTGGGTCCTAAAGCAAGAGAACACAGATTCCCGAAAGAGGAAGGAGGTGGGGACAGGTATCTCTGGTTCTTGAGGCAGGAAGAGGTCAGGAGACAGGGAGGACTCCCAGATTCTTATATGGGAGGGGGATGGAAGCCAGGACTCCTGATTCCCTGGGAAAAGGGGGCTGGGAACAGGGCTCTTAGCTCCTGAGAGAAGAGGGAAATGGGGACCCAGATTCCTGAACTCGTGAGAGGAGAAACTCTACGATCATTGTTCCCTGGAAAGGTGGAGTTCAAGGGCCTGAACTCTTGGTTGCCCAGGCCAGAGGGGTCTGCGTTCAGACTTCTTCGGTAGGTGGGCAATGGATGTCCAAATTTCTGCCTACTGAGACAGGAGGAGGGAGGGATAAGATTCTCATTTCCCAGAGGAGATAGGAGCTGGGAACTCAGATTCCTGGGTTACCAATGAGATGGGGCTGGCCACAAAGGGTTTTGAAAAGAACTCGCTGTTGGGCGCAGCGGCTCATGCCTGTGGGAGCCGAGGCCCAGCACTTTGGGAGGCCGAGGCGGGTGGATCACCTGAGGACAGGAGTTCAAGACCAGCCTGACCAACATGGCGAAACCCCTCTCTACTAAAAATACAAAGATTAGCCTGGTGTGGTGGCGGGCACTTGTAGTCCCAGCTACTACGGAGGCTGAGGCAGGAGAATCACTTGAACCTGGGAGGCAGAGGTTGCAGTGAGCTGAGATCACACCACTACACTCCAGCCTGGGCGACAGAGTGAGAGTCTGCCTCAGACAAAAAAAAAAAAAGGAAAAAGAAACTAGTCCCTCAACCTCCTACAGGGCCTCTGTGTCACACAGACATCACTCCGTCTGGTGAGTAGCCACCCCATCCACTCTCCTTTTGTTGCTGACACCCCTTTTCCAATTACTCAGATTTTATTTTGGTGCCCAATCCCATCCCAGATATCCTTATTTTCCTCCCTCCCTCCATTCCTTCCTTCTTTTCTCATTCCCCTTAGTGGCCATTATAGGTGAGTACTGAAGACCAGGAACTTCTGAGGCAGAGGCCTAAGCTAGGACCTCAGTTTCACCATCGTATTCATTTATATGTGACCATATGACCTAGAACAAGTCACAGCTTGCTAAGACTCCATTTCCTTCTCTGTAAAATGGGCCGCTGTGAGATCTCATCAAATCACATGTGCAAAACCCTGAGCCTGGCACAGTACAGGGCTTAAGAAATAGGATCTTGGGCTGGGCGCAATGGCCAACGTCTGTAATCCCAGCACTTTGGGAGGCAGAGGCGGGCGGATCACAAGGTCAGATCGAGATCATCCTGGCTAATGTGGTGAAACCCCGTCTCTACTAAAAAAAAAAAAAAAAAAAAAAAAAAATTAGCCGGGTGTGGTGGGACGCACCTGTAATCCCAGCTACTCAGGAGGCTGAGGCAAGAGAATCGCTTGAACCCAGGAGGCAGAGGTTGCAGTAAGCTGAGATCGCGCCACTGCACTCCAGCCTGGGTGACAGTGCAAGACTCCACTTCAAAAACAAACAAACAAACAAACAAACAAAAACTCTTTTGGAGATATTTCAGTGTCGCTATAGCTATCTCTACCTATTTATTTTATTTATTTATTTATTTATTTTGAGACCAGTTTCTCTCTGTCGCCCAGGCCGGAGTGCAGTGGTGCAATCTCGGCTCACTGCAACCACCTCCTGGGTTCAAGGGATTCTCCTGCCTCAGCCTCCTGAGTAGCTGGGACTACAGGCACACACCACAATGCCCGGATAATTTTTGTATTTTTAGTAGAGACAGGGTTTCCCCATGTTGGTCAGGCTGGTCTGGAACTCCTGACCTCAGGTGATCCCTCTGCCTCAGCCTCCCAAAGTGTTGGGATTACAAACATGAGCCCCCTCACCCGACCCTTATTTTTATTCATTTTTAGAGATGGGGTCTCATTGTGTCACCCGGGCTGGAGTACGGTGGCTCTATCATAGCTCACTGCAGCTTTGAATTCCTGGGCTCAGACAATCCTCCAGCCTCAGCCTCCCAAAGTGCATGCCACCATGGAGTTCTCACTCTGTTGCCCAGGCTGGAGTGCAGTGGCATGATCTCAGCTAACTGCAGCCTCCGACTCTAGGGTTCAAGTAATTCTCCTACTCAGCATCCCAAACAGCTGGAACTACAAGCTAGCACTACCACGCCTGGCTAATTTTTCTGTTTTTAGTAGAGATGGGATTTTACCATGTTGGTCAGGCTGGTCTTGAACTCCTGACCTCAGGTGATGCACCCACCTTGGCCTCCCAAAGTGCTGGGATTACAGCTGTGAGCCACCGGACCCAACAGCCTTCCTGTACTCTTAATTTGTGTGATTTGTGAATAAGTGATATCTGCCAGTACTATCATTTGTCCTCCAGTTTTGTCTTTTAGCATACACAACTTAAGAAATTTGAAGTGGTCAAATTAATTAATCTTCCATACAACTTTTTATTTTATATTTTAAGAAGCCTTCCTTACCCCAAGACAAATATATTTTCCTATAGTTTTTTGAATACTTTTATAGTTTAAAAAAAAAGAAACACAGGGTCTTTAATTAATCTGGAAGTTGTTTTGGGAAATGGTATGAGGTAGGGATCCAACATTTTTCTTTTCCAAATAGCAAGTTTTGGCAACTCTTGAAATACTATATTGCAAATATTCTGGAAAGCTATTTAAAATTAGAGTTCTGGCTGGGCGTGGTGGCTCACACCTGTAATCCCAGCACTTTGGGAGGCCGAGGTGGGAGGATTGCTCGAGCCCAAGAGTTCAAGAGTAGCCTGGGCAATATAGCGAATGCTCGTCTCTACTAAAAATTAAAAAAAAAAAATTAGCCTGGTGTAGTGGCATGTGCCTGTGGTCCCAGGTACTCAGGAGGCTGAGGTGGAGGACTGTTTGAGCCCAAGAGATTGAGGCTGCAGTGAGTTGAGAACATGCCACTGCACTCCTGCCTGAGCAACACAGCAAGACCCTGCCTCAAAAAAAAAAAAAAAAAAAAAAAAAGTCTGGGTGTGGTGGCACAAGCTTGTAAACTTAGCACTTTGGGAGGCCGAGGTGGGAGGATTGCTTGAGGCCAGTAGTTTAAGACCAACCTGCTCAACATAGGGAGACCGCCCCCTCCCATCTCATTACTTAAAAATAATAATAATAATAAAATTACAGAGTTCTGGGACCTGACCTTTTGAAACTGTGTTTACAAACTGTGGAGTAAAGCTCAGAAGTTTCTGTCCTGCCCCTCTGATTTGCACCTGGTTTTAACAAGGCTTGATTGTAGTCCAGTCTCTCCCTGATTTTACAAACAGGAAACTGAGGCTAAGAAAGGGGCAGTAATTGTCCAAGGTGATTTTCCTCCTTCCCCAACTTCCCTTTCATCTTCTGGGGCTCCCAGGAGGCCCGAGGACCCAGGCAGCCCCGTTTATTCAGTCCCCCCAGCTTCATACCACCCTAAGCCATGGCTGGGAGCTCAGCCGGCTACAGTTGTGACCCCTGGGGTCAACGTGACCTTGAGATGCCGGGCACCCCAACCCGCTTGGAGATTTGGACTTTTCAAGCCTGGAGAGATCGCTCCCCTTCTCTTCCGGGATGTGTCCTCCGAGCTGGCAGAATTCTTTCTGGAGGAGGTGACTCCAGCCCAAGGGGGAATTTACCGCTGCTGCTACCGAAGGCCAGACTGGGGGCCGGGTGTCTGGTCCCAGCCCAGCGATGTCCTGGAGCTGCTGGTGACAGGTGAGGTCCTGGGGTCGGGGAGGAGAAGTGGGTGGAACAAGGGAGTTGGGGGAGGGACAGAGAGATATAGGGAAAGAGAGACAGAGCGAGGCGGGCAAACAGATTCACAGACACAAGAAAAGACAGATACAGAGACACTAGGGGGAGAGAGAGAGACAGGGGAGCAGAGAGAGAGAGACAGGGGAGCAGAGAGAGAGAGAGGTACAGTGCGGGGGGAGAGAGAGAGAAAGAGGCAGAAGGAGAAAGGGAGGCAGAGAGAGAGGGAGGCAGAGAGAGAGGGAGGCAGAAAGAGAGGGAGGCAGAGAGAGAGGCAGGCAGAGAGAGAGGCAGGCAGAGAGAGAGGGAGGCAGAGAGAGAGGGAGGCAGAGAGAGAGGGAGGCAGAGAGAGAGGGAGGCAGAGAGAGAGGGAGGCAGAGAGAGGGAGGCAGAGAGAGAGGCAGGCAAAGAGAGAGGCAGGCAGAGAGAGAGGGAGGCAGAGAGAGAGGGAGGCAGAGAGAGAGGGAGGCAGAGAGAGAGGGAGGCAGAGAGAGAGGGAGGCAGAGAGAGGGAGGCAGAGAGAGAGGGAGGCAGAGAGAGAGGCAGACAGAGAGAGAGACAGGCAGAGAGAAAGAGAGGCAGAAAGAGAGAGAGAGGCACAGAGAAAGCGAGAGACAGAGGAGAAGGAGAAACAGAGCGAGCGAGCGAGCGGAAGACGCTCACGCGGCCCCGGACTCTCACCCCGTCTCTGCAGAGGAGCTGCCGCGGCCGTCGCTGGTGGCGCTGCCCGGGCCGGTGGTGGGTCCTGGCGCCAACGTGAGCCTGCGCTGCGCGGGCCGCCTGCGGAACATGAGCTTCGTGCTGTACCGCGAGGGCGTGGCGGCCCCGCTGCAGTACCGCCACTCCGCGCAGCCCTGGGCCGACTTCACGCTGCTGGGCGCCCGCGCCCCCGGCACCTACAGCTGCTACTATCACACGCCCTCCGCGCCCTACGTGCTGTCGCAGCGCAGCGAGGTGCTGGTCATCAGCTGGGAAGGTGAGGGCCCTGAGGCCCGGCCCGCCTCCTCCGCCCCAGGAATGCAGGCCCCAGGACCTCCGCCCTCAGACCCAGGAGCCCAGGCCCCCAGCCTCTCCTCCTTCAGACCCAGGGGTCTAGTCCTGCAGCCCCTCCTCCCTCAGACCCAGGATTCCTGGGACCCAGCCCCTCCTCCCTCAGATCCAGGAGTCTAGTCCTCCAGCTCCTCCTCCCTCAGACCCAGGATTCCCGGGCCCCAGTACCTCCTCCCTCAGACCCAGGACTCCAGGCCCCCAGCCCCTCCTTCCTGGACCCAGGACTCCAGGCCCCCAGCCCCTCCTTCCTGATCCAGCAGTCCAGGCCCCAGCCCCTTCTTCCTGGACCCAGGAGTTGAAGCCTCCATCGACTCCCCCTCAACTTTGAGACTGTAGAGTCAGGTCCCTAAGTCCACCCCAGGGGCTGGAAACCTGGAGTTCAGGGCCCAGACTTTGGGGTCCGGGAGCTGATGGCCCCTCTCTCCCGGCTCCGCCCGCAGACTCTGGCTCCTCCGACTACACCCGGGGGAACCTAGTCCGCCTGGGGCTGGCCGGGCTGGTCCTCATCTCCCTGGGCGCGCTGGTCACTTTTGACTGGCGCAGTCAGAACCGCGCTCCTGCTGGTATCCGCCCCTGAGCCCCAGGAGCACTGCAGCCCGAGACTTCCAACCTGAGTGGCGGAGAAGCTGGGACCCTGGGCTGGACTGTCCTTTCCTGCAGCCCCACAGTCCTGCTGGCTGAGCTCCGCGGAACGGTCCTTAGACCCCGCTGTGCCCTGTGCTGTAGCTTCTTTCCAGGCCTTTCCCAAGGAGTAGCTGAAAGGAAGACGCGATTAGTGGTTAAGACTTCCAAGCCAGAAGACAGAGGGTTCGAATCCCAGCACTGCCGTCTACTCACTGTAGTAGTAGCAGCTACAGAAAGGTAGTAGTGAGACGTGAAGCCAGCTGGACTTCCTGGGTTGAATGGGGACCTGGAGAACTTTTCTGTCTTACAAGAGGATTGTAAAATGGACCAATCAGCACTCTGTAAGATGGACCAATCAGCGCTCTGTAAAATGGACCAATCAGCAGGACATGGGCGGGGACAATAAGGGAATAAAAGCTGGCGAGCGCGGCACCCCACCAGAGTCTGCTTCCACGCTGTGGGAGCTTTGTTCTCTTGCTCTACACAATAAATCTTGCTGCTGCTAACTCTTTAGGTCCGTGCCATCTTTAAGCGCTGTAACACTCACCACGAAGGTCCCTGGCTCCATTCTTAAAGTCAGCGAGACCACAAACCCACAGGAAGGAACCAACTCTGGACACGGTAGCAGCATTCAGAAAGCGCCCTTCCCCAACTCTCTCTTGCCTTGACGGTAAAATGGATGCACTGATAAAACCCACTTCATAGGATTGTTGTAGGATTCAGTGGGTAATACACATAAAACATTTAAAGCAGTAACTGGCCCGTAGTAAGTGTTCAATAAATGTTAGCTACCCTGTAACACCGATTTCTACCAGACTCAGTGCCGAAAGGAAGGTCTCACCTTTTTGCCATCAAGCATAATCAAGCACGACTTTTTCTTTCTTTCTTTCTTTTTTTTTTTTGAGAGAAGATCTCACTCCACCCAGGCTGGAGTGCAGTGGCGTGATCTCGGTTCACTGCAACATCCGCCTCCCGGGTTCAAGTGATTCTCGTGCCTCAGTCTCCTGAGTAGCTGGGATTACAGGTGTGCGCTATCACGCCCAGCTAATTTTTGTATTTTTAGTAGAGATGGAGTTTTGCCAAATTGGCCAGGTGGTCTCGAACTCCTGACCTCAAGTGATCCACCTGCCTCGGCCTCCCGAATAGCTGGGATTACAGGTGCGTACCACCATGTCCGGCTAATGTTTGTATTTTTAGTAGAGACGGGGTTTCACCATGTTGACCAGACTGGTCTTGAACTCCTGACCTCAAGTGATCCGCCCGCCTCAAGAACTGAATTTTGAAGTCTAATTAGCCACCTGGGGGCGCTAACGTGTTGAAAAGACGGGAGGAGAGACTGAGCGGGTCTTCCGGGGTTTGATCTCAGTGCCAGAGGGGCCTTGGTAGAACATATGTGGGACAACCTCCCCGGCATATGTGGCTGTGGGAAATAATAACAATTTTAAAAAAGGAATAAGCCGGGGGTGCTGGCTCACACCTGTGATCCTAGCACTTTGGGAGGCCGAGGCAGGTGGATCACGAAGTCAGAAGTTCGAGACCAGCCTGGACAACATGGTGAAACCCCGTCTCTACTAAAAATACAAAAATTAGCCGGGCGTGGTGGCGGGCGCCTGTAATCCCAGCTACTCGGGAGGCTGAGGCAGGAGAATTGCTTGAACCCAGGAGGCGGAGGTTGTAGTGAGCCGAGATTGCATCACTGCACACTCCAGCCTGGGTGACAGAGCAAAACTCCGTCTCAAAAAAAAAAAAAAAAAAAAAAAGAATAAAGAAGAGACGCAGGTTATAAGGAAGGCACCAGACCTGGATGAGGCTGTGATGTCATCAAATCCAGTCTTCCCACTTTATAAATGGGAAAATGGTGGAAAGAGAGGTGATATTAAGTTTACCTAAACATGTACAGGAAGTCAGTGGCACATCAGGGAGTCTTTTTTTTTCCTTTTTCCCTCTTTTTTTATTTTATTTTATTTTATTTTATTTTTTTTGAGGTGGACTTTCGCTCTTGTTGCCCAGGCTGGAGTGCAATGGCGCCATCTCGGCTCACCACAACCTCCGCCTCCCAGGTTCAAGTGATTCTCCTGCCTCAGCCTCCCGAGTAGCTGGGATTACAGGTGTGAGCCACCACACCTGGCTAATTTTGTATTTTGAGTAGAAACAGGGTTTCTCTGTGTTGGTCAGGCTGGCCTCGAACTCCCAAACTCAGGTGATCCGCCCGCCTCAGCCTCCCAAAGTGCTGGGATTACAGGCATGAGCCACCGTGCCCGGCCCTCTTTTTTTAAAAATGTATTTCCACCCAAAGCAGAGAAAAAGAAGTCTTGGCCGAGTTTGTACTTCAACTTAACTCCATGTATTCATCCATTCAATCACTCCTTCATTCACCATTCACTCATTCATGTCTAGCATTGATTCTCATCCTTATTCATTTCTATTGAGCATCTCTTTTTCCTTTGCTTTCATTTGTACATTTGTCTATTTCATTTGTCCTTATCCATCATGCATTCATTCATATTTCCATCCATTTACCCATCCATTTCTTCATTAACCAGTTTTTAATCCACTGAACTATTTATTCATTCAATATCCATCTATCTACCTGTGCATTTATCTATCCAATAAGCTTGAGATTTTTTTTCTTTTTGAGATGGAGTCTTGCTCTGTTTCCCAGGTTGGAGTGCAGTGTTGTGATCTCAGCTCACTACAATCTCCACCTCCCGGGTTCAAACGATTCTCCTGCCTCAGCCTCCCAAGTAGCTGGGATTACAGGCACCTGCCACCATGCCCGGCTAATTTTGTGTTTTTAGTAGAGATGGGGTTTCACCATGTTGGCCAGGCTGTTCTCGAACGCTTGACCTAAAGTGATCCATCTGCCCACCTTGGTCTCCCTTTAAAGTGCTGGGATTACAAGCGTGAGCCACCGCACCCAGCTGAGATTTCTTCATAGCAGTTTACCAGTGACCAGTGTTCAATGAATGCTTATTGAGTGAGTTGTAGTCACAATGCTTATTTCATTTTCTACCACTGAACATCTTTTCATACTGGTCATTTTGCTGGGTGATCCACATAGGTTATTTCTGATCAACAGCCCCCAAGACACACAGAAGTGCCTAACTTGGGACTTGTCTGTGTGGTTAGACTGCTGGGTCTTTTCCCCCTGTTCCTGCCTCTTAAAGCAATGACAACACTGCCATCACCACGCCTGGCCAATTTATTATTACTATTATTATTATTTTTTTTTTGAGATGGAGTCTCGCTCTGTTGCCAGGCTGTAGTGCAATGACGCGATCTCGGCTCACTGCAACCTCCGCCTCTTGGGTTCAAGTGATTCTCCTGCCTCGCCCTCCCGAGTCGCTGGGATTACAGGCGTGTGCCACCACCATGCCCAGCTAACTTTTGTATTTTTAGTAGAGATGGGGTTTCACCATGTTGGCCAGGATGGTCTCGATCTATTGACCTCGTGATCCACCCCCCTCGGCCTCCCAAAGTGCTGGAATTACAGGCGTGAGCCACCGCGCCCGGCTAATTGTTTACTTTTTATAGCTATGGGATCTCACCATGTTGTCCAGGCTGGTCTTGAATGCCTGGCCTCAAGCCATCCTCCTTCCTTGGCCTCCCAAAGTGCTGGGATTCCAGGAGTGAGTCACTGTGCCAGGCCTAGGGCTTCCACTGATTTCCCCTAGTCTCATTCATCCTCGTATCACTCATGTATTCAATGTCTACCGTGCATGGCATTGTGCTAGAGTCCGGCGGTCCAGTGGGGAGCAATAGCAGACATAAACCCTGCACTCATGGAACTCACAAAGTATTAACCAAATCACTGCATAGTGTATTGGTTACAGAGCACTTTAAGCTGTTGTAAAAAAGAATCTCCCGGCCAGGTGCAGTGGCGCACACCTGTAATCCTAGCACTTTGGGAGGCCAAGGCAGGTGGATCACCTGAGGTCAGGAGTTCGAGAGCAGCCTGATTAACATGGTGAAACCCTGTCTCTACTAAATACAAAAAATTAGCCTGGTGTGGTGGTGCATGCCTGTAATCCCAGCTACTCGGGAGGCTGAGGCAGGAGAATCACTTGAACCCGGGAGGCGGAGGTTTCACTGAGCCGAGGTCGTGCCATTGCACTCCAGCCTGGGCAACAAGAGCCAAGCTCCATCTCATAAAAAAGAGAGAGAGAGAGAAAAAAAGAATCTCCTTCACCACCGGAAAAAAACTAGATATAAATGTACCTCTCTCTCACTTAACAGTAAATCACTGGGCAATCTCAACGATTTACTTGTTAAGGTGGGATGGTTTTGCTTTTATCAACATGTAGCTTTAATTTCTGGTTCTGAGCCCCAAGAAAGAGGAGAGGACAGAGAGAAAAGGGCTCACACAATTATTATTTTTTTTTTTTTCCGAGTTGGAGTCTTGCTCTGTCGCCCAGGCTGGAGTGCAGTGGCGCGATCTCGGCTCACTGCAAGCTCCGCCTCCCGGGTTCACGCCATTCTCCTGCCTCAGCCTCCCAAGTAGCTGGGACTACAGGCGTCCACCACCACACCCGGCTAAATTTTTTTGTATTTTTAGTAGAGACGGGGTTTCACCGTGTTATCCAGGATGGTCTCGATTTCCTGACCTCGTGATCCGCCTGCCTCAGCCTCCCAAAGTACTGGGATTACAGGCGTGAGCCACTGCGCCCGGCCCACACAATTATTTTTTAAGAGCAGGACCTAGAATTTGAGCATGTATCTTCCTATCGCATCCCATTGGCTAGAACTTAGTCTCATGGACAGGTCTAGCCGCAAAAGTGACTGATGGAAATATGGTCTCTAGCCTGTGCCCTTCTAAAAATGAGGGTGGGAGGGGGTGGGATAGGTGCAGTGGCTCACTCATAATCCCAGCATTTTGGGAAACTGAGGCAGGAGGATGGCTTGAGGCCAAGAGTTTGAGACTCCCTTCTCTATTCAAAAAAAAAAAAAAAAATACAGTAGGCCAGGTGCGGTGGTTCACGCCTGTAATCCCAGCACTTTGGGAGGCCAAGGCAGGCAGATCACCTGAGGTCAGGAGTTGGAGACCACCCTGGCCAATATAGTGAAACCCCGACTCTACTAAAAATACAAAGCTGTAATCCCAGCTACTCGGGAGGCTGAGGCAGGAGAATCACTTGAACCCTGGAGGCAGAGGTTGCAGTGAGCTGATACACGCCATTGCACTCCAGCCTGGGCCACAGAGCGAGACTCCGTCTCAAAAAAAAAAAAAAAAAAAAAAAACAACGAATAAAACAAAAAAACAAAAAACAAACAAAAAAAAGTTTAATGATTTTTCTTCTCTCTAGGAGAAAATATGGAAGTAAAACAGGACCCATCTGAAGATCGTGTGTCCTCTGCTGATTTTAAATAGCCATGGAAAGTTAATGCCACCGCAAGGGGCAGCCCCGCCCTGGCACTCTGGAAACCTGGTACTTATCCACGCAATCAGAGGCTTGAACCACAGCTAAGCTGAGTCTCGGCGGGACCTCTTCTGATCCTCCGGGCACACAAGAGGATTGGGGGCTGGGGAGGAGCTGCTTCAAGGCCACCTCCGTTTTACCTCCCGTGATACCGTGATATAGTAAGAAATATGTACTTGGTCTTCAGCTTTGGTTCCAAAGACACCCTTCTCACCCCATCACTCTGGAATTTCCAAAAACCCTTGGTGAGAAGGGTGTCTTTTGTTATTTATAAGGAGCCTCTTTTCTCTCTTTCTCTCTTTCTTGCTTCCTTCCTTCCTTGCCTCCCTCCCTCCCTCCTTCCTTTTCTCTTTTCTTTTTTCTTCTTTCTTTATTTTTCTTTCTTTCTTTCTTTCTTTCTTTCTCTCTTTTCTTCTTTCTTTCTCTCTTCCCTTTCTCTCCCTTTCCTTTCCTTTCTCTCCCTTCCCCTCCCCTCCCCTCTCCTCTCCTCTCTTTTCCTTTCTTTTCCTTCCTTTCCTTCTTTCCTCTAATCCCAGCACTTTGGGAGGCCAAGGCGGGCGGATCTCTTGAGGTCAGGAGTTTCAGACCAGCCTGGCCAACATGGTGAAACCTCGTCTCTACTAAAAATACAAAAATTAATCGGGCATGGTGGCAGGCACCTGTAATTCCAGCTACTCTGGAGGCTGAGGCAGGAGAATCCCTTGAACTAGGATGCAGAGGTTGCGGTGAACCGAGATCTCACCACTGCACTCCAGCCCGGGCTACAGAGCGAGACTCCGTCTCAAGGAAATATAAAAGAAAATAAAATAAATGTCTCCCAAAGAGACAAGTCAGATTAGCCTAAACCCAGGAATAACTACAAGCAGTTTGAGGGCCAAAGGCAAGGTAGGGGCTGGCCAGATCCGATCTCCTTCACTGCCATCGTTTGCTCACTCTCGTAATTTTTGCAAAGGAGGTTTCAATTGCATGGTTGTCAGCGAACATCCTATTCATCCATTTCTTGCTTTCTACCAGTAAAATTGAACTTTATAGGCCTGCTTTGTGCTTTTAAGGCTAACTAGCAAAATTCCAGAGTTTAGCCTTAAAAAATATTTATAATTGGCCGGGCACAGTGGCTTACACCTGTAATCCCAGCACTTTGGGAGGCTGAGGCGGGTGGATCACAAGGTCCGGAGATCGAGACCATCTTGGCTAACATGGTGAAACTCCGTCTCTACTAAACACACACACACACACACACAAAAGTAGCCGGGTGTAGTGGCACACGCCTGTAGTCCCAGCACTTTGGAAGGCTGAGGTGGGCGGATCATGAGGTCAGGAGATCGAGACCATCCTGGCTAACATGGTGAAACCCCGTCTCTACTAAAAATACAAAAAAAAAAAAAAGTAGCCGGGCGTAGTGGCACATGCCTGTAGTCCCAGCTACTTGGGAGGCTGAGGCAGGAGAATCACTTGAACCCGGGAGGCAGAGGTTGCAGTGAGCTGAGATTGTGCCATTGCACTCCATCCTGGGTGACAGAGTGAGACTCCATCTAAAAAAAAAAATTCTTTATAATTGATCAAAAGAAGTTTAAGAAATGGATTAAGAAGATCTCTTCTTTGCAGCTGTAGGGGAGGAGAGGGAGCTAGAGAGAGAGAGGGCATTGAGAGAGGAGAAAAAGATATTCTGTGCCATAAAACTAATTCAAGAATGTAGTTTAGGCGAGGCATGGTGGTTCACACCTGTAATCCCAGAACTTTGGGAGGTCGAGGCAGGCGGATCACTTGGGCCCAGAAGTTCGAGACCAGCCCTGGCCAACATGGCAAAACACTGTCTCTACTAAAAGTACAAAAATTAGCCCGGCGTGGTGGCACAACCCTGTAATTCCTTGTACTTGGGAGGGCTGGGGCAAGAGAATCACTTGAACCCGAGAGGCAGAGGTTGCAGTGAGTCGAGATCACACCACTGCACTCCAACCTGGGTGACACAGTGAGACCCTGTCTTAAAAAAAAAAAAACAAAAAAAAAAAAAACAGAGTGGGGTGGGGGGCTGGGGGAGGGATAGCATTAGGAGAAATACCTAATGTAAATGATAACTTGATGGGTGGAGCAAACCAACATGGCACATGTATCAAACCTGTACATTATGCACATGTACCCTAGAACTTAAAGTAAAAAAACAAAACAAAACAAACAAACAAAAAAATGGAATGTGGATTGATAAGTTAATAAACTGAGAATATTAAAAAGGCTCTAAATGTGTTTTATAGTCTTATGTAGTATGGAGATCTATGGATATTTATTACAGCAGCCAGTGTTCCATTCTGTGGTTCCATAAATCTGTGCTTTGAAGTGTAATTTGCACAAAATAATCTTGTAGGAGTCCAAAGACATTAGAAATTATTGCCAGTATTGCAATCATTATTTTGAAGGAGAAACCTTGGTGCCATTTGGTGGTCTTACTTAATATTTTGTTGCCCTGGTAACAATCTTATGATTGACATCTGAATTTCCAAGCAGAATAAATGCTTGTAAAAACAATTCTGTTAAATCAGAAGCTATGCATTGGTGTCTGTGTCTTAGTCTGTATTCTGTTGCTTAGAACAGAACACTTGAAGCCAGATAACTTATAAAGAAAAGGAATTTATTTCCTGTAGTTAATGGAGGTTGGAAAGTCCAAGGTGGAGGGGCTGCATCTGGTGAGGACCTTCTTGCTGTTGGGGACTCTCTGGAGGGTTCCGAGGTGGCACAGGGCATCACAGGGCAAAAGAGCTGAGCGTGCTACTTAAGTCTCTCTTCCTCTTCTGATAAAGCCACCAGTCTCACTCCCAGGGTAACCCATTAATCCATTAACTCACTAATCCATTAATCCATGAATGGATTAGTTCATTCATGAGAAAAGAGTCCTCATGACCCAATCACCTCTTAAATGCCCGACCTATCAATACGGCCACATTAGGGATTCAGTTTCACCATAAGTTTATTTATTTATTATTTATTTATGTATTTTTTGAGACAATGTCTTGCTATGTCACCCAGGCTGGACAGCAGTGGCATGATCTCAGCTCATTATAACCTCCACCTCCCAGGTTCAAGTGATTCTCCTGCCTCAGCCTCCTGAGTAGCTGGTATTACAGGCACGTGCCACCATGCCCGGGTAATTTTTGTATTTTTAGTAGAGACAGGGTTTCATCATGTTGGCCAGCTAGTCTCAAACTCCTGACCTCATGTGATCTGCCCACCTTGGCTTCCTAAAGTGCTGAGATTACAGGTGTGAGCCACCACACTCAGCTTATTTACCTATTTATTTTTTGAGACAGGGTCTCACTGTGTTGCACAGGCTGGAGTGCAGTGGTGCAATCACGGTTCACTGCATCCTCAGCTTTCTGGGCTCAGGTGATCCTCCCACTTCAGCCTCCTGAGTAGCTGGGATCACAGGCATGTGCCACCTCACCTGGCTAATTTTTAAATTATTTGTAGAGACAGGGTCTCCCTATGTTGCCCAGGCTGGTTCAACATGAGTTTTCAAGGGAACAAATATTCAAACCTTAGCAGCAGGTTAAATGATCTTTCTCCCACATTTATGATCGGAAAAAAAAAATTAAAGCCTGAGACTCTGCTAGACTTCTTACTTTAACAAGAGTCTGAGAGTCTTGTTTCATTTCCATTACAGCATCTATTAATAGTTCTGACTGAGAGAAGAGCTATCCTTTACTTTGACGATTATGAAGAATAGGGGAAAAGACATTAAAAAGACACAATTACACCATTGATGATTTTGTCACAGCTGAGATAAGTGCTGTTAAAGAACTTGCAGGGAAGTCTTTGCTAAAGAAAAGATTCTGAAGCTGGTTTCTGAGGGAAGAGTCAAAGTTAGCCAAGCAAAAATGGGGGAAAAACTCCAGATACAGGAGTTTTCAGGATGTTTCAGGGTCTGAGATGGGAAGGAGGTTATGTGTTCCAACCCAGTGGTTCTCAAACTTGACTGCACATTAGAATTTCCCAGGAACATTTAAAACACAGAATGAGACACCCAGGCCTCATCCTATACCCATTATAAAAATTAAAATCTCGACTGGGCACGGTGGCTCACACCTGTAATCCCAGCACTTTGGGAGGCCAAGGTGGGCAGATCACCTGAGGTCAAGAGTTCAAGACCAGCCTGACCAACATGGAGAAATCCCATCTCTACTAAAAAATACAAAATTAACTGGGTGTGGTGGCACTTGCCTGTAATCCGAGCTACTTGGGAGGCTGAGGCAGGAGAATCGCTTGAACCCGGGAGGCAGAGGTTGCAGTGAGCTGAGATCATGCCATTGCACTTCAGCCTGGGCAACAAGAGCAAAATTCCATCTTAAAAAAACAAAAATAAAAAAATAATTAAAATCTCTCGGTGGGACTCAGGCACTCAGTAAATATATATATATCTATTTCCATTGACCATAACACATGACAGACTAAAGATGGCCTCCAATTCTTTGTCACTGTCCCTATAGAGAGGTAGAGTTTATTTTCCCTCCCCTTGAATCTGGCCTTTCCTTAAGACTGTAGAAGAAGAGAAACTGTGTCAGTTCCAGGCTTAGTCTTTAAAGGGACAAACAACTTTTGCCTTCTTTATTTTATTTATTTATTTATTTATTTGAGACAGAGTCTCATTCTGTTGCCCAGGCTGGAGTGCAGTGGTGTGATCTCGGCTCACTGCAACTTCCGCCTCCCAGGTTCAAGCAATTCTCCTGCCTCGGCCTCCTGAGTAGCTGGGATTACAGGTGTGCACAAACACACCCGGCTAATTTTTTTTAATTTTGTTTTTAGTAGAGACGGGGTTTTACCATGTTGGCCAGGCTGATGTTGAACTCCTGACCTCAGGTGATCCACCCACCTCGGCCTCCCAAAGTGCTGGGATTACAGACGTGAGCCACCATGCCCAGCCGCCTTCTCTATTTTAGAAAGCTCTCTTGTGACATCCCCTCTTGAAACCCAGATGCTATCCTCCAAGAAGTCTGAATCAAATGGAGAGGCCATGTGCAGGTACATCATTCAACAGTCCTAGCCGAGCTTTCAACCAACATCCAGCATCAACAGCCAGCCATTTGCAAGTGCCATCTTGGAGATTCCAGCTCAGTTGAGCCACCCTGATGACTGAAGCCCAGGAAGACATCACATTGAACCGAAGAACCGCTCAACTGAGCCCAGTCATCTCACCAGATCAGGAATGATTAAAAAAAAAAAAAAACAAGATTGTTACTCTAAGTTACTCAGTTTTGGGGTGGTTTGTTAACACAGTAATTGATAACCTAAACCCAAAAGAGAACTAAATAATGATGACTTAAAACTAATACCAATTGATTTCTCCCTTATGTAGAATAAATCTGAAGGGAGCAGTCCAAGGCTGGCACAGTGACTCCAAAAAGCATTATGGACCTAAGTTACTTCTGGCTCACCCTCCACCATCTTGAACCTCATCTCATCTTCATGGTTCAAGATGACGCTAGAATACCAGTCATCACATCCACATTTTAGGCAGTTAAGTGAAGGAAGGAAAGTGTACTTCATTAAAGAACCTTTTGGAAGCTGTCTACAATATTTATGCTTATTTATCATTGTCCTAGATGAAGACTTACGGCTACATCTACCTGTAAGTGACACTGAAGAATGTAGTTTTTTACCTGGGTGCCAATGGGCCCAGCTAAAAATCAGAATTCTCAACAGCAAAAGGATGGCTTTGAGATAATCATGTAGATTATGTGCAGATAACTACAGATAAGTCCCCTCCCCCAAGTCTATTTTAAATTTTCTCCTGGAGTATTTTAAAGTAAACCTCAGATATAATATGATTTCATCTATAAGACTTTTTATTTTGGTAACATATTCTTAAGGTTAGGTGTGATAAACACCTAACAAAGTGAATGATTATTTATTTATTTATTTTATTATTATTTTTTGAGATGGAGTTTCACTCTTGTTGCCCAGGCTGGGGTACAATGGTGCGATCTCAGCTCACTGCCACCTCCCCCTCCCAGGTTCAAGTGATTCTCCCACCTCAGCCTCCTGAGAAGCTGGGATTACAGGTATATACCACCAAGCCTGGCTAATTTTTGTATTTTTTGTAGAGATGGGATTAGGCCATGTTGCCCAGGCTGGTGTTGAACTCCTGGGATCAAGCCTTCCACCTACCTCACCTCCCAAAATCTTAGGATTACAGGTGTGATCCACCTTGCCTGGCCCTAAGCTATTCTTTATTCTTTCTTTTTTCGTTTTTTGAATCAGGGTCTCCTTTCTTCATTTCCAAGTGGAATGGAACTTTACCAGGCCTTTCCTGTTGACTGATAAAATTCCAGAGCCTAGTTTTAAAATATGCATATTCCTTGTTAGCAACAGAGATGTTAAGAAGAAATATAGGAGATGTCCTCTTTTCCCTGATACTGCATAAGGAGAAAGATTTTTTCTGAGTCACAACACTAATTTAAGGAATCTGATTTGATAAAGAGTTGAATTGAGAAGATTCACAAGAATATCAGTCTTGTTTTCTGGTACAATATGGAGAACTAAATGAATATTCACAAACATTACTAAATTGTTCTCTGTTGAAATAAATTCATACACAAAACTGTTATTTGAACAAAAGGGTCTTGTAAGAGTCCCAAGCCTTTAAAAATCATTGCCACATCTTGTGAAAATAACTTTCAAAGAAACACCTGTAATTATAGTTGGTTTTACTCCTTATAATTTGTTGCCTTGTTGACTTTTCTATGTTCCAAAACAGTAAGAAGAGTAGGTGCTATCAAGACAAAAAATCCGAAAACAAAAACGAGACTTCGGGGCATTTTGCTCTTCTTCCAAATGCAAGATGAAAAAAAACATGGTTAAAAACTAACTTGCTTGATTTCTTATTTTAACAAAAAAATAAAAAATTTTGTCTGATTCAAATTAACATTTTTTTTTTTTTTTTTGAGACTGAGTCTCACTCTGTTGCCCAGGCTGGAGTGCAATGGTGCGATCTCAGCTCACTGCAACCTTTGCCTCCCAGGTTCAAGCAGTTCTCCTGCCTCAGCCTCCTGAGTAGCTGGGATTACAGGCGTGCACCACCACGCCCAGCTAATTTTTGTATTTTTAGTAGAGATGAGGTTTCACCATGGTTGGCCAGGCTGGTCTCGAACTCCTGACCTCAGGTTATCTACCTGCCCCGGTCTCCCAAAGTGTTGGGATTACAGGCATGAGCCACTGCGCCAGGCTAAATTAACATAATTATCAAATGCAATCTGTAGACTTTTATTGGATCCTGATTTATTCTTTAAAAACCTGATAGAAATGACATTTTTGAGACAATCAGGGAAATTTGAGTACTGAATGGGTATTAGCTGGTATCAAGGAGGTACTCTTAACTTTCTTGATGTGACAGTGCTGTGGTGCTTATATTATTTTTAAAATGGTTCTTATTTGATAAAGATAGATATGTACTGAAATATTCTGAACTTAAAAAATGAGCTCATGACTGGCTGGGCACAGTGGCTCATGCCTGTAATCCCAGCACTTTGGGAGGCTGAGGTGGGTGGATCACTTGAGATCAGGAGTTTGAGACCAGCCTGGCCAACATGGTGAAACCTCATCTCTACTAAAAAATACAAAAATTAACTGGGCATGTTGAAGGGCTCCTGTAATCCCAGCTACTTGGGAGGCTGAGGCAGGAGAACCGCTTGAACCTGGGGGGTGGAGGTTGCAATGAGATGAGATTTTGCCACTTCACTCCAGCCTGGGCGAAAGAGTGGAACTCTGTCTCAAAAGAAAAAAAAAAAATGGTGATGAAGGCCTGGCACAGTGGCTCATGCCTGTAATCCCAGCAGTTTGGGAGGCCGAGGCAGGTGGATCACTTGAGGCGAGGAGTTCAAGACTAGCCCAGCTAACTTGTGAAACCTCATCTTAACTAAAAATACAAACATTAGCCGGGCATGGTGGCATGCGCCTATAATCCCAGCTACTTGGGAGGCTGAGGCCGGAGAATTGCTTGAACCCAGGAGGCTGAAGTTGCAATGACCTGAGATCGTGCCACTGGACTCCAGCCCAGGTAACAGAACCAGACACCATCTCAAAAAAAAAAAAAAGAGTGAAGTGCTTTCATCTCTTCAATACGAACCCTTCAGGGCCAAGTCTGAAGCATTTTCGGGGTTACCTGTTTGATGCCTGAAATCTGCCTGAGACAGAGGAGCATTTCCTGTGAGTCAAGTGCTCGAACACTGGTGTGTGTAAGGAGCATGTTGCAATCAGCAACATCAACATGTTTCCTGAATGTGGATATGGGAGGGGAAACTGAAAGGCTAGGAAAGGCTGTTACTGCCCACACTCTGGGGTGGGAGAGAGGCAGCGACGACTCCAGCTCTTCTCCCATCTGTGGACTGCAGAACCCAAGACGGACTCTGGGAGGGCTAAGGAGCCATCATGATCCCTAAGCTGCTTTCCCTCCTCTGTTTCAGTAAGTCTCACAGGGCTATCCACTGGGACTGCAGAAAATCATGGAACTGGTGGGATAGTTGGGCTGGGGATGGAAATAATAACATCAACTTTGGCTTACTGAGCACACGGGAGGAGTGAGACGTCCTGCTGAGTGCAGTGCAGACATTCCCTGGAAACGAGTGCTCTGCAAACTTCAACTCCTGTAGTTTCAACTTCGTGAGTTTTGCTGAATGCCTCCACCACCTGGCTTCATTGGCTTACCCCTTTTCTCAGGATCAACTCTGACTTTTTGTGTGTAAGTAAAAGTATTCAGAATAGAAACCTTATTTTATTTTATTTTATTTTATTTTTTTGAGACAGAGTTTTGCTCTTGTTGCCCAGGCTGTAGTGCAATGGCATGATCTCGGCTCACCACAACCTCTGCCTCCCGGGTTCAAGCGATTCTCCTGCTTCAGCCTCCTGAGTAACTGGATTACAGGGGTGCGCCACCATGCCTGGTTAATTTTTGTATTTTTAGTAGAGACAGTGTTTCACCATGTTGGCCAGGCTGGTCTCGAACTCCCGACCTCAGGTGATCTGCCCACCTCAGTCTCTCAAAGTGCTGGGATTACAGATGTGAGCCACTGTGCCTGGCCCAGAAACCTTAATACCATAAATAAAAATTTAGTGTCAAATAGATAACTATAAAGTAAATTGAGGCCGCTGTGTAACCATCACCACTATCTACACTAAAACCTCTTTCTTTCTTCCTTCCTTCCTTCCTTTCTTTCTTTTTCTCCTTCCCTTCCTTCCTTCCTTCCTTCCTTCCTTCCTTCCTCCCTTCCTTCCTCTCTCTCTCTTTCTTTCTTTTTTTTTTTTTTGAGATGGAGTCTCGCTCTGTCGCCCAGGCTGGAGTGCAGTGGTGCGATCTCTGCTCACTGCAAGCTCCGCCTCCCGGGTTCACGCCATTCTCCTGCCTCAGCCTCCCGAGTAGCTGGGACTACAGGCGCCCGCCACCATGCCCGGCTTTTTTCGTAGGTTTCACTGTGTTAGCCAGGATGGTCTCCATCTCCTGACTTCTTGATCTGCCCGCCTCGGCCTCCCAAAGTGCTGGGATTACAGGCGTGAGCCCCCGCTTGCTTGCCTGCTTGCTTGCTTGCTTGCTTTCTTTCTTTCTTTCTTTCTTTCTTTCTTTCTTTCTTTCTTTCTTTCTTTCTTTCTTTCTTTCTTTCTTCCTTCCTTCCTTTCTTTCTTTCTCTTTCTCCTTCATTCCTTCCTTCCTCTCTCTCTTTCCCTTCCTTCCTTCCTTCCTTACTTCCTTCCTTCCTTCCCTCCTTTTCCTTTTTTTGAGACAAAGTCTCACTCTGTACCCAGGCTGGAGTGCAGTGGTATGACCACAGCTCACTGCAGCCTCCACCTCCTGGGCTCAAGCAATTCTCCTGCCTCAGCCTCCTGGGTAGCTGAGATTACAGGTGCCCACCACACACCCGGCTGATTTTTTGTACTTTTTAGTAGAGACGGGGTTTCATCATGTTGGCCAGGCTGGTCTTGAGCTCCCTCAGGTGATCACCTCAGGTGATCTGCCCGCCTCAGCCTCAGCCTCCCAAAGTGCTGGGATTACAGGCGTGAGCCACAGTGCCCCGTGTAATTTTTAAATTTTTTGTAGAGACGGGATCTCACTATGTTACTCAGGCTGGTCTCAAACTCCTGGCCTCAAGCAGCCCTTCTGCCTTGGCCTCCCAAAGTGCTGGGATTACAGGCGTGAGCCACTGTGGTGGCTCTGCCACCTTTTTCTCCCATCCTGGCCCTCAGCAGAATACCCACCTCCATTAGGAAGGCCAACCTGCCCGACTCAGCATTAGATTCAAATGCTGATCTTTCTAAAAACACCCTCACAGACACGCCCAGAAATAATGTTTAACCAGATATCCCAGCATCCTGTGGCCTGGTCTAGCTGATAAATCAAATTAACAATCACAATTCCCAATATGAACGCTACACCCTCTAACCAATAACTCTGTATTTGCCGCGGTCCTCCCAGCCCCTGGTAACCTCCATTCTAATTTCTTTTTTTTTTTTTTTTTTTCGGAGATGGAGTCTTGCTTCGTCACCCAGGCTGGAGTACAGTGGCCTAATCTCAGCTCACTGCAACCTCCGCCTCCTGGGTTCAAGCGATTCTCCTGCCTCTCCCTCCCGAGTAGCTGGGATCACTGGCGCTCACCACCATGCCTGGCTAAGTTTTTTTTTTTTTTTTTTTTAGTAGAGACAAGGTTTCACCATGTTGACCAGGCTGGTCTCGATCTCCTGACTTTGTGATCTGCCTGTCTCGGCCTCCCAAAGTGCTGGGATTACAGGCGTGAGCCACCGTGTCCAGCCCATTCTAATTTTTATCTCTATGAATTTGCTTATTCTAGGATGTATGAGTGGAATCATAACACTTGTTCTTTTTTGCCTGACTTAGTTTACTCAGCATAATATCCTCGAGCTACATCTATATTGTAGGATATGTCAGATTTCCTTTCCTTTTTATGGCTAAAATCCCACTGTAGGCCGAGCACAGTGTCTCACACCTGTAATCCCAGCACTTTGAGAGTCTGAGGCAGGCAGATCGCTTGAGCCCAGGAGTTCGAGACTAGCCTGGGCAACATGGTGAAACCCTGTCTCTACAAAAAATACAAAAATGAGGCTGGGCATGGTGGCTCACGCCTGTAATCCCAGCACTTTTTTTGCAATGACCTGACGTAAGGAGTTCGAGAACAGCCTGGCCAATAGGGTGAAACCCCATTTCTACTAAAAATATAAAAATTAGCCATGCGTGGTGGCGGGCGCCTGTAATCCCAGCTACTTGGGAGGCTGAGGCAAGAGAATCGCTTGAACCCAGGAGTCAGAGGTTGCAGTGAGCCGAGATCATGCCATTGCACTCCAGTCTGGGCAACAAGAGCGAAACTCCATCTCAAAATAAATAAATAAATATTAAAAACAACAACAACAACAAAAATGAGCTGGGCATGGTGGTGTGCAGCTGTAGTCCCAGCTACTCGGGAGGCAGAGGTGGGAGGATCACCTGAGCCCAGGGAGTTGATGCTGGAATGAACTAGGATCACATCATTGCACTCCAGCCTGGGCAGCAGAGCGAGACCCTGCCTCAAAAAAAAAAAAAAAAAAAAAAGAAAGAAAGAAAAGAAAAAGAAAAAAGCATTTTGGAGGCTAAGATGGGCGGATCACCTGAGGTGGGGAGTTCAAGACCAGCCTGACCAACATGGTGAAACCCTGTCTCTACTAAAAAATACAAAATTAGCTGGGCATGGTGGTGCATGCCTGTAATCCCAGCTACTTGGGAGGCTGAGGCAGGAGAATCACTTGAACCCACAAGGCGGAGGTTGCAGTGAGCTGTAATCCCAGCTACTTGGGAGGCTGAGGCAGGAGAATCACTTGAACCTGCAAGGCGGAGGTTGCAGTGAGCTGTAATCCCAGCTACTTGGGAGGCTGAGGCAGGAGAATCACTTGAACCCGCGAGGCGGAGGTTGCAGTGAGCCGAGATCGCGCCATTGCACTCCAGCCTGGGCAACAAGAATGAAACTATGTCTCAAAAAAAAAAAAAAAAAAAACGAAGAAAAAGAAGAAAAATCCCATTGAATATATAGAGCACACTGTGTTTATCCATTCTTCCATGGATGGACACTTACGTTGTTTGAACATTTTGGGTGTTCACAATTTCCTTTTGCAAAACTTGAAGTGTCAGTTTATGGATTGGCTCATGGATGTAATAGTAGCACAAACGCCTGGTAACTTCTCCTTTTTCCTGCTGAGACCTAAAACTGTTCACACAGGGGAAAAAGAGGAAATCTCTCAGAGACACAGGCCTAACTAACTTTCTTTGAGTTAGATCAATCTCATTATTATGATAATGTTCATAAACAGGCTTGATATTATGTTTTTTCTTTTCTTTCTCTTTTTTTTTTCTTTCCTGAAACTGAGTCTCGCGCTGTGGCCAGGCTGGAGTGCAGTGGTGCGATCTCAGCTCATTGCAAACTCTGCCTCCTGGGTTCAAGCGATTCTCTGCCTCAGCCTCCTGAGTAGCTGGGATCACAGGCGCCCATCACCACACCTGGCTAATTTTTGTATTTTTAGTATAGACGGGGTTTCACCATGTTGGCCAGGCTGGTCTTCAACTCCTGACCTCGTGATCCACCTGCCTCGGCCTCCCAAAGTGCTGGGATTACAGGCGGGAGCCACCGCGCCCGGCATGGTCAAGAGTTCTTAACCAGCCCAGCCCTGTCTCTATCAAAAAAAATTAAAAAGGAGGAAGAGCAAATGCAGCCATGTGTGAAACAGGGAGGAACGTATGCTTTCCCCTTTCTGGAATGACCATTTGGATGTTTTGAGGCTTGTTACAGGACACCAAACAATAAATTTTGTCCTGTTTGGAGTCATGAAGGGATTAAAAGAGATCATGAGCCTGGGCAACATAGGGAGACTCTGTCTCTGGGAAAGACTAAAAAATTAGCCGGGTGTGGTGGTGCACACCTGTGATCCCAGCTACTCGGGAGGCTGAGGTGGGAGGATCACTTGAGCCTGGGAGGCTACAGTGAGCCATGATGGAGCCACTGCACTCCAACCTGGGCAACAGAGAGAGACCCTGTCTCAAAACACAATAATAAAATGAAAAATTAAAAAATAAAAAGAAGCTGGGCACAAAGCTCATGCCTGTAATCCCGGCACTTTGGGAGGCCGAGGTGGGTGGATCACCTGAGGTCAGGAGTTCGAGACCAGCCTGGCCAATATGGTGAAACCCTGTCTCTACTAATAATACAAAACTCAGCCGGGCGTCCTGGCGCATGCCTGTGATCCCAGCTATTTGGGAGGCTGAGGCAGGAGAATCACTTGAACCCGGGAGGCGGAGGTTGCAGTGAGCCGAGATTGCGTCACTCTACTCCAGCCTGGGCGACAGAGCGCAACTCTGTCTCTGGAATGAATGAAAGAAAGAAAGAATGAATGAAAGAAAGAAAGAATGAATGAAAGAAAGAAAGAAAGAAAAAGAAAGAAAGAGCGAGACTCTGTCTCTGGAATGAATGAAAGAAAGAATGAATGAAAGAAAGAAAAAAGAAAGAAAGAAAGGAAAGAAAAAGAAAGAAAGAAAGAAATGGTAAGAATGAGTGCTGTTTTCAAACAGAAGATGAGAATGGAAGGATTTGTGGGAAAGGCCTGGAGCAGGGGGAGGTGACAGCCACACAGGATGGTCAAGGAGAATCGCTGGGAAAGGATGGAGGAGCTGGAAGTCGAGCAGAAGCCACAGTCCAGTGTGGGGAGAATGAGAACTCCTGAGCGTATGACCTCTAAGGGTCTGTTCTCAGCAGGAGACTCTGGGACGATCTCCAGGGGTCAGGGCAGGGGGTGACGTGGCTCCAGGTAGGGGCTTCTGGCTCACGGAGGATTGTCTTGCAGGACTGTGCGTGGGCCAAGGAGACACAAGGGGAGATGGTGAGTGTTTCTTCAACTACACCCTCCTTGGCCTGTCATCCCAAATCCCCTGCTGTTCTCTTCCCCTTCCCCCTCTTTTTCTCTTTTTTTTTTGACGGAGTCTCACTCTTTCGCCAGGCTGGAGTGCGGTGGTGCAATCTCGGCTTACAGCAACCTCCGCCTCCTGGGCTCAAGTGATTCTCCTGTCTCAGCCTCCCAAGTAGCTGGGACTACGGGTGCTTGCCACCACGCCCAGCTAATTTTTGTATTTTTAGTAGAGACGGAGTTTCACCATGTTGGCCAGGATGGTCTCGATCTCATGACCTCGTGATCTGCCTGCCTTGGCCTCCCAAGGTGCTGGGATTACAGGCGTGAGCCACCGCACCCAGCCCGCTTCCCTTCTTAAAATGGGATTCCTGATTGGGCTCAGGGGTTCACGCCTGTAATCCCAGCACTTTGGGAGGCCAAGGTGGGTGGATCACCTGAGGTCAGGAGTTCGAGACCAGCCTGGCCAACATGGTGAAACCTTGTCTCTACTAAAATACAAAATTAGCTGGGTGTGGTGGTGCGTGCCTGTAATCCCACCTACTTGGGAGGCTGAGGCAGGAGAATTGCTTTAACCCAGGAGACGGAGGTTGCAGTGAACTGAGATTGCACCACTGCACTCTAGCCTGGGCAACAGAGGGAGACTCCATCTCAAAATAATAATAATAATAATAAATTTTAAAAAGGGCTTCCTGAGAGCAGGGGAGGGCATCGGGTCCAGCATCAGGCTCTGCTTCCTTCCAGGGTCACTGCCCAAGCCGTCCCTCAGTGCCTGGCCCAGCTCGGTGGTCCCTGCCAACAGCAATGTGACGCTGCGATGTTGGACTCCTGCCAGAGGTGTGAGCTTTGTTCTCAGGAAGGGAGGAATTATTCTGGAGTCCCCGAAGCCCCTTGATTCTACAGAGGGCGCGGCCGAATTTCACCTCAATAATCTAAAAGTCAGAAATGCTGGAGAGTACACCTGTGAATACTACAGAAAAGCATCCCCCCACATCCTTTCACAGCGCAGTGACGTCCTTCTACTGTTGGTGACAGGTACAGACAGGGTGCCTGCCAATGACATACGGGGGACAGGGGATGAGGGAGGAAGTGGAGGAACAGAGGGAGAAAAGGGGTCCCACCTTCAGAGTAGTTGGGGGTGATGGGAGAGGGAGAGAGACAGGAACGAAATTGCATATGTTGGTTTTATACTTTGTCGCCCAGGCCAGAGTGCAGTGGTGCCATCTCGGCTCACTGCAACTTCCGCCTCCTGGGCTCAAGTGATTCTCCTGCTCCAGCCTCCTGAGCAGCTGGGATTACAGGTGCCTGCCACCATGCCCGGCTAATTTTTGTATTTTTAGTAGAGACAGGGTTTCGCCATGTTGGGCAGGCTGGTCTCGAACTCCTGACCTCAGGTGATCCACCCGCCTTGGCCTCCCAAAGTGCTGGGATTACAGGTGTGAGCCACCATGCCAGGCCTTACACAGGTCTTGTAGGAGGGAGAATCTCTGTCCTGGGGTCGGAGTAGGAAGTGGAGGAAGGTAGAAGAGATCAGGAATCTCTCATTTCCCACACTCCACGAGAGCCTCCGGCCAGGAGAACAGGGGTGAGTGGGGGATTCCAGACTTCTCCCCAGGACCTCAGAACCTGACTTCTCTTACAGGACATTTATCTAAACCTTTCCTCCGAACCTACCAAAGGGGTACAGTGACCGCAGGTGGAAGGGTGACTCTGCAGTGCCAGAAGCGAGACCAATTGTTTGTGCCTATCATGTTCGCTCTACTGAAGGCAGGGACGCCATCACCCATCCAGCTGCAGAGTCCAGCGGGGAAGGAGATAGACTTCTCTCTGGTGGACGTGACAGCCGGCGATGCTGGGAACTACAGCTGCATGTACTACCAGACAAAGTCTCCCTTCTGGGCCTCAGAACCCAGTGATCAGCTTGAGATATTGGTGACAGGTAAGGGCGTGTATGGTTTTGAGGAACTGTGTGTGTTGTTTTTAATCAGAGATTGTTTTGTTCTTCTGTGAATCTCATTTCTTCATTACTTACAATATCATCGCTCTTAACAAAATCTTCCCTTTCTGGCCTGGCGTGGTGGCTCATGCCTGTCATCCCAGCACTTTGGGAGGCCGAGGTGGATGGATCATCTGAGGTCAAGGATTTGAGACCAGCCTGGCCAACATAGTGAAACCCCGTCTCTACTAAAAATAAAAAATTAGCCAGGTATGATGGCATGCACCTGTAGACCCAGCTACTTGGGAGGCTGAGGCAGGAGAATTGCTTGAACATGGGAGGCGGAGGTTGCAGTGAGCCAAGATCTTGCCACTGCACTCCAGCCTGGGCAATAGAGTGAGACTCTGTCTCAAAAACAAAAAACAAAAAACAAAAACAAAAACAACAAAACAACAAAAAAACCTCCCTTTCACAATTTCCACTCCTTTGCCTTTTTTTTTTTTTTTTTTTTTTGAAATGGAGTCTCACTCTGTTGCCAGGATGGAGTGCAATGGCGCGATCTTCGCTCACTGCAACCTCCACCTTCCAGGTTCAAGTGATTCTCCTGCCTCAGCCTCCCAAGTAGCTAGGATTACAGGCCTGCACCACCCATCCGGCTAATTTTTCTATTTTTAGTAGCGATGAAGGTTTCACCGTGTTGACCAGGCTGGTCTTGAACTCCTGACCTCAGGTGATCTGCCTGCCTCGGCCTCCCAAAGTGCTGGGATTACAGGTGTGAGCCACCGTGCCCGGCCCTCCTTTGCCTTTTTGTTATACTACATCCTTGGAAAATTTCTAGGCTGTTTTTGAAAATTATGAATCTACCAGCACCAGATTCCTTCTACCAGTCTTTGCATCTCTTAGCGTTTTGGTTTTTTGTTTTGTTTTGTTTCATTTTGTTTTTGAGACAGAGTCTCGCTCTGTTGCCCAGGGTGGAGTGCAGTGGTGCGATCTCAGCTCACTGCAACCTCTGCCTCCCGAGTTTAAGCAATTCTCCTGCCTCAGCCACTTGAGTAGCTGGGATTACATGTGCCCACCACCACGCCTGGCTAATTTTTGTATTTTTAGTAGAGATGGGGTTCTGACCATGTTGACCAGGCTGGTCTTGAACCCCTGGCCTCAGGTGATCCACTCACCTCGGCCTCCCAAAGGGCTGGGATTGCAGGTGTGAACCACTGTGCATGGCGTGTTTTGGTTTTTCTTGGTGTTAGTGATTTCACTCTCAATAATTCTTTCTCAGTCATGTGCGGTGGCTCAGGCCTGTAATCCCAGCACTTTGGGAGGCTGAGGCTGGAGAATTGCTTGAGCCCAGGAGTTTGAGACCAGCCTGGGCAACATAGTGAGACCCAGTTTCAAATTAAAAAAAAAAATTATCTCATCCTCAGAACATGGTGTTTGCACAGCCTCCTGCTTCTATGCCGTGGATGCGAAGTCTACCCATGTCTTTTATTGACTGCTAGAATTCTTCTGAAAGTATCTTGTTTCCTGCCTTACTGGGTGCTAGCACTCTGCTTCCTCAGCTCTGTAAATTATTTTTCATCTATTGTAACTGCTGTAATGAGTTACATTACAGCTCTTGCCGGGTGCCTGGATGAAGCCCATTCATCAAGACAGAGGAATTGCAAAAAAGAGTTTAATACACATTGAGCCAGGTAAGTGGGAGACCAGAGTTTTTTTGTTTGTTTGTTTGTTTGAGACGGAGTCTTGCTCTGTCGCCCAGGCTGGAGTGCAGTGGCGCGATCTCGGCTCAATGAAACCTCTGCCTCCCAGGTTCAAACGATTCTTCTGCCTCAGCCTCCCGAGTAGCTGGGACTATATGTGTGCCACCCTGCCTGGCTAATTTTTGTATTTTTAGTAGAGATGGGGTTTTACCATATTGGCCAGGCTGGTCTCGAACTCCTGACCTCGTGATCTGCCCGCTTGGGCCTCCCAAAGTGCTGGGATTACAGGCATGAGCCACTGCACCTGGCCAATCAGAGTTTTATTATTACTCAAATCAGCCTCCCTGAAAATCTGGAGGCTAGGGTTTTGTTTGTTTGTTTGTTTTCTTTGAGATGGAGTCTCACTCTGTCGCCCAAGCTGGAGTGTAGTGGCACAATCTGAGCTCACTGCAGCCTCCACCCCCCAACCCCAGGCCCAGGTCAAGTAATTCTCCTGCCTCAGCCTCCTGAGTAGCTGGGATTACAGGCACCCGCCACCACACCCGGCTAATTTTTTTGTATTTTTAGTAGACATGGGGTTTCGCCATGTTGCCCAGGCTGCTCTCAAACTCCTGGCCTCAAGCAATCCTCCTACCTTAGCCTCCCACAGTGCTGGGATTACAGGCGTGAGCTACTGTGCCCGGCCTCAACTCAAACTTTCTCAGGTGCACTGCTGCACAGCAGTGTGGGCTGCGAGGATGCTGATCCAGCCACGGAATTCGGGGCTCTGTAGAGCTCCTTCCGTCTCATGTGCTGCCCCAAGACTATTCCTTAACATAAGGATGCGGGAGGAGAAAAGGCAATGTGGGAAGGTGGAAATGGGATAAAGAGCAAATAAACGAAGGAAGAGAGCTAAGGTGGAGTGAATATCAAGGAAGGAAGATAAAGGAACTCCCATTACAACTCATTAGGATTGCATATCTTGGCCGGGCGCGGTGGCTCAGGCCTGTAATCCCAGCACCTTGGGAGGCCGAGGCAGGCGAATCACTTGAGGCCAGGAGTTCGAAACCAGTTTGGCCAACATGGCGAAAACCCATCTCTATTAAAAATACAAAAATTAGCCGGGTGTGGTGGTAGGTGCCTGTAATCCTAGCTATTCGGGAGGCTGAGGCAGGAGAATCGCTTGAACCCAGGAGGTGGAGGTTGCAGTGAACCGAGACTGCGTCGCTGCACTCCAGCCTGAGCAACAGAGTGAGACGTCGTCTCAAAAACAACAACAAAGATTCCATCTTTTGTTTTCAGGGATTAAAACTTTAAAGAGCTCAATTATGGCCAGGCATGGTGGTTTATGCCTATAATCCCAACACTTTGGGAGGCCAAGGCGGGTGGATCACCTGAGGTCAGGAGTTCGAGACCAGCCTGACCAACATGGAGAAACCCCGTCTCTACTAAAAATACAAAATTAGCCGGGTGTGGTGGCACATGCTCATAATCTCAGCTGCTTGGGAGGCTGAGACAGGAGAATCACTTGAACCCGGGAGGCAGAGGTTGTAGTGAGCTGAGATTGTGCCATTACACTCCAGTCTGGGCAACAAGAGCAAAACTTGATCTCAAGAAAAAAAAAAAGTTCAATTAAAACTTTAAAGTACAGTGGACTACTGGCTAGAAAACATTAAGTGGGTGGCCGGGCGCGGTGGCTCACACCTGTAATCCCAGCACTTTGGGAGGCTGAGGTGGGCGGGTCACCTGAGGTCGGGAGTTCAAGACCAGCCTGGCCAACATGGCGAAACCCCGTCTCTACTAAAAATATAAAATTAGCCGGGCATGGTGGCACATGCCTGTAATCCCAGCTACTTGGGAGGCTGAGGCAGGGAGGCTTGAACCTGGGAGGCAGAGGTTGTGGTGAGCTGAGATTACACCACTGCACTCCAGCCTGGTCAACAAGAGTAAAACTCCGTCTCAAAAAAAAAAACCAAAAAACCGAAAACATTAAGTGGGTGATGATAGTCAGATTTGGTGGGGCCATTTGAGAAGGAGGGATACCCTCTGAGGGTCAGTGCTGAGCCCCTTCTCTCTTTCAGTTCCCCCAGGTACCACATCGAGCAACTACTCCCTGGGTAACTTCGTACGACTGGGTCTGGCTGCCGTAATTGTGGTTATCATGGGAGCTTTCCTGGTGGAGGCCTGGTACAGCCGGAATGTGTCTCCAGGTGAATCAGAGGCCTTCAAACCAGAGTGACTCCATCTTGAACCGGGGCTGGGTAAACTGAGGCTGCAACCTGCTGGACTGCATTCCCAGGGGGTTGAGGCTTTCTAAGTCACAGGATGAGACAGGTCACAACATACAGGTCACAAAGACCCAAAGACACAAAGATGCAACAAAGAAGCCAGCCAAAACCTGCCAAATCCAAGATGGCAACAAAAGTGACTTCTGGTCGTCCTCACTGCACATTATTTGCTAATTATAATGCATTTGCATGCTAAAAGACACTCCCACCGCCACCAAGACAGCTTACAGATGCCATGGCAACTTCCAGAAGCTAAACGAGGGAGGGACTCTCAGTTCCAGGGAAATCCCCTCCCCTTTCCTGGAAAACTCATGAACAGTCCACCCCTTGTTTAGCATACGATCAAGAAATAACCACAAAAATAGCCGACTGACAGCCCTCTGGACTGCTCTGCCTATGGAGCAGCCATATTCCTTGACTTTCTTAATAAACTTGCCTTCACTTTACTCTGTGTACTCACCCTGAGTTCTTACTTGTGTGAGATCCGAGAACCCTCTCTTGGGGTCTGGACTGGGACCCCTTTCCAGTAACAGATCCAAGTTAAAACACGGATCCCCTCTCTCTTTCATGGGCTGCTGTAGAGATATGGAATTCTCTTCTGCTCCAGATTTATTGAGATCTAATCGACAAATAAAAATGGAGTTATATTTGTGTACAACGTGATGTTTTGATATATTCCATTTTGATTTATCAATTATACCCCCATAAGCCTACGGGTGGGGAACCCTCCTACTAAGTAATTTATTGTGTACCAAGGAAGAAATTTCACTGATTGTGACATGAGTATCACAATGTAGCTAACGAACCTTTCTGTTTAAGATCCACCTTCTGGGAACCTCCCTACTAAATAATTAATTGTGTACCAAAGAAGAAATTTCACTAATTGTGACATGATTATCACAATGTAGCTAATGGACTTTTCTGTTTAAGATCCACCTTCTGGGAACTTTCCTACTAACTAAGTAATTAATTGTGTGCCGAGGAAGAAATTTCACTCATTGTGACAATGGTTATCTCAATCTAGCTTATGGACCTTTCTGTTTAAGATCCACCTTCTTAGCAAATTGTAATTACCCAGTGCAGCCTTGTGAACTGTAGCCGCCCTGCTGTGCATTCAATCCATATGGGGTTCTTTAAACATCAGACTCTACCATGGGGACTTCACACGTTTCTCCACATGGGCACAAATGGTATTTTTTGTTTTTTTGTTTGTTTGTTTGTTTTGAGACAGAGTCTCGCTTTGTCGCCCAGGCCAGAGTGCAGTGGTGCGATCTCGGCTCATTGCAACCTCCGCCTGCCAGGTTCAAGTGATTCTCCTGCCTCAGCCTCCCAAGTGGCTGCAACTACAGGCACCTGCCACCATCTGGCTAATTTTTTTGTATTTTTAGGAGAGACGGGGTTTCGCCACATTGGTCAGGCTGGTCTCGAACTCCTGGCCTCAAGTGATCCACCTGCCTCAGCCTCCCAAAGTGCTGGGATTACAGGTGTGCACCACCGGGCATGGCCACAAATGGTGTTTAAAGTGCAATAGTCCTTCACCATGTGAGACTGTCTTGTCCATTATAGGAACACGTAACTCGACATTGCTAATACTTCCTTTCCCATTGAACACCTGTTGGAGACCTAATTATTGTGAAACAACAACAACAAAAAAGCCACTACTCTCATACCTTTCAAATATCCCTGGATGGGGCGATGGGAAGTGAGGGTGGTGCTCCCCCTGGTTGAAAAGCTGTGTTTGGATGCCGGGAGAAAACAATCTTCCTCCTCTTCCTTCCCCTCTAAGCTCAGCTCTGTTCTTCTCTAGCCATAGATCCCACAGCTGCCCAGGGAATGATGGGTTGGACCAGCTGAGCCTTAACCGCTTTCTGTGGAACCTGCACTCTCAGCTCTGTTGGGATCTGCTGTAGGGCAGGATGGTGGCTTTCTTCTTCCTGTACTTTTCACTGGGGACAGAGGACAGAATTGGGCACAATGAGCCACGTAATACTTTTTTTTTTTTTCTTTGAGACGGAGTCTCGCTCTGTCACCCAGGCTGCAGTGCAATGGCAAGATCTCGGCTCACTGCAACCTCCACCTCCTGGGTTTAAGCGATTCTCCTGCCTTAGCCTCCCAAGTCGCTGGGATTACAGGCGCCTGCCACCATGCCCAGCTAATTTTTGTACTTTTAGTAGAGATGGGGTTTCACCCATGTTGGCCAGGCTGGTCTTGAACACCTGAGCTCAAGTGATCAGCCCACCTCGGCCTCCCAAAGTGCTGGGATTGCAGGCTTGAGTCACCGTGCCCAGCCCTTAATACATTTTTGATAACTTGAATCAATACTTAAAACTTCAGAGTCAGATTGAGTAGTAGGTGACTCTCACCTGCGGGGAACTCTTCCTCCACACGAAGGGAAAAACATTGCTTCCTGTGTAATATTTATTAATACTTCCTCTCCGTTCTTTCTATTTTGTGCTTCTGGACCAGCATTTAGTCCAATATTGGGATATACATATTTATTTATTTATTATATTTATTTATTTTGAGACAGGGTCTCACTCTGTCGCCCAGGCTGGAGTGTAGTGGCTAGATCACGGCTCACTGCAGCCTCGACCTCCCAGGCTAAAGTAATCCTCCCATCTCAGCCTTCTGAGTAGCTGGGACCACAGGTGTGTGCCATCATGCCGGACTAAATTTTGTATTTTTTGTAGAAGCCGGGTTCCACCATATGGCCCAACTTGGTCTCGAACTCTTGGACTCAAGTGATCCTCTCATCTTGGCCTCCCAAAGTGCCAGGACTACAGGCGTTAGCCACTGTGCTTGGTCATATGTATTTATAATACATTCTTTCTTTCTTTTTTTTTGGAGAGGGAGTCTCACTCTGTCACCCAGGCTGGAGTGCAGTGGCGTAATTTCAGCTCACTGCAACCTCCCTCTCAGGTTCAAGTGACTCTCCTGCCTCAGCCTCTCAAGTAGCTGGGATTACAGGCGCCCACCACCATGCCTGGCTAATTTTTGTGTGTTAGTAGAGACGGGGTTTCACCATGTTGGCGAGGCTGGTCTCGAACTCCTGACCTCAAGTGATCTGCCCACCTTGGCTTCCCAAAGTGCTGGGATTACAGGCATGAGCCACCACGCCCAGCCTGTATTTATAATACATTTCTTTTACATTTTATTTTATATGTTTCCAACATTTTACCCAGTTTGGCAGGAATTCCATTCTATCCATGGCATCCATTTGCTTGTAATTGGTAGCCAGTCTTACTGGTGCAGATGTAAAATGTCAACAGTTGCCAGGTGCTGTGGCTCATGCCTATAATCCCAGCACTCTGGGAGGCCGAGGTGGGCGGATCACAAGGTCAAGAGATCGAGACCATCCTGGCCAATATGGTGAAACCCCATCTCTACTAAAAATACAAAAATTAGCTGGGCGTGGTGGTGCATGCCTGTAATCCCAGCTACTCAGGAGGCTGAGGCAGGAGAATTGCTGGAACCCGGGAGGCAGAGGTTGCAGTGAGCCGAGATCTCACCACTGCACTGCAGCCTGGGCGACAGAGCGAGACTCCGTCTCAAAAAAAAAAAAAAAAAAAAAGTCAACATTTATGTTTTGTTGTTACATTTTGTTTTCAAGATTTGTTGCTGTTTCTTGTTAATAGTCTTATTATTTTTCGTAAATATCATTCTTATTTTATAACTATTGTCTCCTCTGTTATAACTCTGAGGATGTGCTTATCAAAGCAATATTCCTCCTCTTCCTCCACTAACCACAGGTTGGTCCTTCTCTATCCACAGACCACACAGCTGCCAAGGGTAGCATGCGCTAGAGCTGCCGATCCTTAGAGTTTCCTGTGCAGCCAGCATTTCCAGCTGTTTGAGAGCCGCACCAGGACAGGACGATGGCTTTCTTCCCATCCTCCTCACTTAGGACAGGACGGGGTGGGCACAGGGACCCATCCAGCAAGTTATTATTTTTGTAGTTATTAAGATAGAAAGTATAGGCCGGGCATGGTGGCTCACACCTGTAATCCCGCCTCAGCCTCCCAAAGTGCTGGGATTACAGCGGTAAGTCATCATGCCCAGACGATTATTTTTTATTTGTATACGTTTATGGGGTACAAGTGTAACTTTATTGCATGGATAGATTCCAAAATGATGAAGTTAGGGCTTTCAGGTATCCACTAACCCAGTGACACACATTGTATCCATTAGATAATTCTTTTTTTTTGATGGAGTCTTGCTCTGTGACCCAGGCTGGAGTGCAGTGGCGTGATCTCAGCTCACTGCAACCTCCGCCTCCCGGGTTCAAGCGATTCTCCTGCCTCAGCCTCCTGAGTAGCTGGGACTATGGGCGTGTGCCACCACGCCCGGCTAATGTATCCATCATCATAACACACAACCATTTGAATGAATCTCACAGGCATTGTGCTGAGTGAAAAAGGTCACCCTCAGAAGGTGAGGCGATGGACGATTCCATTTATACAAGAGTCTCAAAGTGACAAAGTGATAGAGACGTAGAACAGATTAGCAGGTGCTAGGGTGGGAGAGCGATTATAAAGGGGCAGCATGAGGGAGTTCCTACGTGGTGGTGGGACAGTTCTGTGTCTTGATTGTGGCGGTGGTTCTATAAAGCCATACATACAGGCAATAAAATGTTACAGAACTATACCCATAGGCAAAGAAAAGGGAGGAGGAAAAGAAGGTGGAAGAGGAGGAAGAGCAGGAGAAAAGAAGGAAAAGGAGAAAAGGAAATAGAAATAGAAGGAAGAGGAAGAGAAAAAGAGAAACGAATTATGCACAAACTGGTGAGATCTGAGTGACCTCTGGAACCTGGTTAAACGTGTGATGCCAGTGCAAAGTCTCTGGTTTTGAAAATGTGCCATACGCCGGGCGTGGTGGCTCACGCCTGTAATCCCAGCAGTTTGGGAGGCCGAGGCAGGCGGATCGCCTGAGGTCAGAAGTTCGAGACCAGCCTGGGCAACATGGCAAAACCTCGTTTCTACTAAAAAGAACAAAAAAAATTAGCCAAGAGTGGTGGCGGACACCTGTCATCCCGGCAACTCGGGAGGCTGAGGCAGGAGAATCGCTTGAACCCGGGAGGCAGAGGTTGCAGTGAGCCAAGATTGTGCCACTGCACTCCAGCCTGGCTGACAGAGATTCTGTCTCAAAAAAAAAAAAAAAAAAAAAAAGTACTGTAATTATAAGAGATTACCATTGGCCGGGCACAGTGGCTTATGCCTGTAATCCCAGCACTTTGGGAGGCTGAGGTGGGCGGGTCACTAGAGACCAGGAGTTCAAGACCAGCCTGGCCCACATGGTGAAATCCCATCTCTACAAAAAATTAGCTGGGTGTGGTGGTGCATGCTTGTAATCCCAGCTACTTGGGAGTCTGAGGCAGGAGAATCCTTAAACCCATGAGGCAGAGGTTGCAGTGAGCCGAGATCGCGCCACTGCACTCCAGCCTGGGTGACAGAGCAAGACTCTGTCCCCCCCGCCCCCCAAAAAAAGGTTAACATTGTGGGGAGCTGGCTAGTGGGTACACGGAAGCTATAAAGCTATAGGTATTAATGTTTGTTTGTTTGCTTGTTTGAGACAGTTTCACCGTTGTTGTCCAGGCTGGAGTGCAGTGGCACAATCTTGGCTCACAGCAACCTCCGCCTCCTGGGTTCAAGCCATTCTCCTGTCTCAGCCTCCGGAGTAGCTGGGATTACAGGCATGCGCCACCATGCCTGGCTAATTTTGTATTTTTAGTAGAGACGGGGGTTTCTCCATTTTGGTCAGGCTGGTCTTGAACTCCCGACCTCAGGTGATCCGCCCGCCTCAGCCTCTCAAGGTGCTGGGATTACAGGCGTGAGCCACCGCGTCCGGCCGGTATTAGTGTTTTAAAATAAAAAATTACATTTACAGAAAACTCTTGGCAGAACTTCAGATAAGGTAGGACAGAGCTCGGGCGGGTGGGGCCACACACACCGGATTCATGGGGAAGAAGTTATCATCGACGGCTTCTTGTTTCCTGAGTCGGTTGTGAGAAGGAAACTGCAAGAGTGGGGCAGAGAACCAGAGTGTCAGAGCAAAACCTCCTCTATCTGCACATCCTGGGGACGAACCGGGCAGCCGGAGAGCTGCGGCCGGCCCAGTCCCGCTCCGCCTTTGAAGGGTAAAACCCAAGGCGGGGCCTTGGTTCTGGCAGAAGGGACGCTATGACCGCAGAATTCCTCTCCCTGCTTTGCCTCGGTGAGTCTCCAGGACTGGGACGAATGGGCTTGGGCTGGTGAGAAAAACTCATGTGGGAGTGGCAGTCCAGGTGGAAATGCGGTGTGTGGAAGTAATGACTTCCAGGTGTTGCACACCTGCGGTGGGTGGGTCTGGGCTGTGGGTTCTGTGAGTTCTGCCGCCCACATGCAAGCGAGGAGGAGGCCGCGCTGCAGAGACACGGGGACAGACTCCGCTGGGAAAGGCAGAGCTGCTGTGGGGTCTCCGAGTCTGCAGCCGCTAAATACCGCAGTACTGCCATCATCCTCCGTCGGAATAGAGGAGGGCTGGGCTTAGGGATCTACAGGGTGCAAGGCTGTGGGCAAAAAGACAATTTTCTTCTCTCTCTCTCTTATTTATTTATTTATGTATGTATGCATTTATTTATGAGACAGAGTCTCACTCTGTAGCCCAGGCTGGAGTGCAATGGCGTGATCTGGGCTCACTGCAACCTCCGTCTCCCAGGTTCAAGCGATTCTCCTGCCTCAGCCTCCCGAGTAGGTGGGACTACAGGTGCAGGCCACCACACCCGGCTGACTTTTGTATTTTAAGTAGAGACGGGGTTTCACCATGTTGGTCAGGCTGGTCTCGAGCCCCTGACCTCAGGTGATCCGCCCGCCTCAGCCTCCCAAAGTGCTGGGATTACAGGCGTGAGCCACCACACCTGGCCCCAAGAAGACAATTTTCTGACCAGCTCGATTCTTAGGCTGATTTTAACCATCCTCCAATTGAACCTGATGTATTCAGACAGAGCTCACACTGTGAAACGGATGACCTGGGTTATAATCTCGGCTTTACTACATAGAAACTCTAGGCTTGACCCAGCAGAGCTCCACCTCCCTAAGGCCCCAGTTCCTCCCTGGTGCACGGGGGGTGCGGTGGACATCGACGTGCTTCGTCTGCTTCAGTTCCTTCCTCCTTTTCTGGGTGCAGCCCTTCCTTGTGGGGTAATGCTCGTCTCCTACACACATTTGCACCTTAGATGAGCATTTTTTTTTTTTTTTGACAGAGTCTTGCTTTGTCTCCCAGGCTGGAGTGCAGTGGTGTGATCTCAGCTCACTGCAACCTCCACCTCCTGGGTTCAAGCGATTCTCCTGCCTCCGCCTCCCGAGAAGCTGGGATTATAGGCACACGCCACCACGCCTGGCTAATTTTTTGTGTTTTTAGTAGAGATGGGGTTTCACCATGTTGGCCAGGCTGGTCTCAAACTCCTGAACTCAGGTGATCTACCCACTTCAACCTCCTAAAGTGCTGGGATTACAGGTGTGAGCCACTGCACCCGGCTATTTGTGCCTTAGAGATGACTATCGGGTTCATACCCAAGCCTCCAGCTGCTGAGCACAGTAAGCTGGGCAACCAGGAGACTGACCTCATCCCCCAATGGCTGCCATACCAAAGTACTACAAGCCTGGTGGCTTAAAGGAATTAGAATTGCTTTAAGTTGGGGAGATGAGAAGTCTGAAACCAAGGTGTTTGCAATGTTGATTCCTTCTGAGAACTATGAAGGAGCGTCTGTTTTATGCCCCTCTTCTAGTGATGGCTGACAATTCTTGGCATTTTTTTTTTTTCTTGAGGCGGAGTCTTGCTCTGTCACCCAGGCTAGAGTGCAGTGGCATGATCTTTCTCACTGCAACCTCCACCTCCTGGGTTCAATCAATTCTCCTGCCTTAGCCTCCCAAGTAGCTGGGATTACAAGCATGGACCACCATGCCTGGCTAATTTTTGTATTTTTAGTAGAGACAGGGTTTCACCACGTTGGCCAGGCTGGCCTCGAACTCCTGACCTCAGGTGATCTGCCCGCCTCAGCCTCCCAAACTGTTGAGATTACAGGCGTGAGCCAGCGCTCCCGGCATTCTTTAACTTGTAGATGCATCACTCCAATCGTTGGCTCTGTTTTTTTTTTTCTTTTCTTTAGACAGGGTCTCACTCAGTTGCCCAGGCCGGAGTGCAGTGGTACCACCATAGCTCACTGCAGCCTCAACCTCCTGAGCTCAAGCAGTCCTCCCCGCAGCCTTCTGAGCAGCTAGGACTACAGGTGCACACCACCATGTTGGACTAATTAAAATAATTTCTGTTTTAGAGATGGGATCTTGCTATATTGCCCAGGCTAGTCTCCAACTCCTGGGCTCAAGCAATTCTCCTATCTTGGCATCCCAAAGCACTATGATTGCAGCCTGGCCTCTCTGCCTCTGTCTTCGCATGGCCGTCTTCCTTCTGTGTGTCTCTGTCTCTCTTTTTCTCTTCTTGTAAGTTATATTGGATTAGATACCCAGCCTACTCTAGTATGACCTCATCTTAGTTTAATTAATTACATCTGCAAAGATCAGACAATGCTATTTTCAAATAAGGTCACATTCGCAGGTCCTGGGAGTTACAACTTGAACTTCTCTTTTCAAGAAACACAAATCAGCCAGGTGTGGTGGCTCACGCCTGTAATCTCAGGACTTTGGGAGGCCCAGGCGGGCAGATCTCTTGAGGTCAGGAGTTTGAGACCAGACTGGCCAACATGGTGAAACCCCGTCTCTACTAAAAATACAAAAATTAGCTGGGCATGGTGGCAAGGACCTGTAATCCCAGCTACTCGGGAGGCTGAGGCAGGAAAATCGCTTGAACCTGGGAGGCAGAGGTTGCAGTGAGCTAAGATAGCACCGCTGCCCTCCAGCCTGGGTGACAGAGGGAGACTCCATGTCAAAAAAAAAAAAAAAAAAAGAAAAGAAAAAGAATATGGGAATTGGGCTGGGTGCAGGTAGCTCACACCTGTAATCCCAGCATGTTGGGAGGCCAAGGTGGGAGAATCACTTGAACTCAGGTGTTCGAGACCAGCCTGGGCAACATCGTGAGTCCTCATCTCTACAAAAAAATTTTAAAATCAGCCAGCGTGGTGGTGCATGCCTGTAGTCCCAGTTATTTGGGAGGCTGAGATGGATGGATCACTTGAGCCCAGGAGGTTGAGGCTGCAGTGAGCTGTGACTGCACCCTGGCACTCCAGCCTGGGCCACAGAGTGAGACCCTGTCTCAAAAAGAAAAAAGAATATAGGAATCACTGTTTGAACAGACGATGGGTGGATAGCAGAGATGAGATGACATGAATCTAAAAGCGGGATTTGGGGAGGGTCTCAAAACAGAGCCTGAGTCCTGGGATGCCCTGCCCACCCAGAGGCTGTTTCCTACCTGCCAATCCCAGCTAATCTCGCTGCCAACGCAGCTTCGGTCCATCGTGAGGCCTCCACCTCATTCCTCTGTGGTGAAGCTTGGTGGGGGGTCACGTTCTGTATCGGCACCTGTGTCAACAAGGAACCAATGTCCTGAGACACTGTCGTGGCTCTAGAGAATTTCTACCTAAATTCTACGTAACTTCACCCTGAAACAAGCCCCATGACTGACATCCCATTTTCCACCCAAGTTTAAGACGCTACCTTCCCAGCGGGGAATGTAGAGAACAGAACACAGAAGAGGGAGGGGATAATGTAAGTGGAAACCAAAGCTAAAGTGAGGAGAGTATTTGGGACCAGAAGACACGGGGAAGGGGGAGCAGATTCTCTCTATTGGAATTGAGCAAGAAAACCCTCCTCTCGGCCGGGCGCGGTGGCTGATGCCTGTAATCCCAGCACTTTGGGAGTCCGAGGCGGGTGGATCACGAGGTCAGGAGATCAAGACCATCCTGGCTAACACAGTGAAACCCCGTCTCTACTAAAAATACAAAAAAATTAATTAGCTGGGCTTGGTGGCGGGTGCCTGTAGTCCCAGCTACTCGGGAGGCCGAGGCAGGAGAATGGCGTGAACCCGGGAGGCAGAGCTTGCGGTGAGCCGAGATCGCGCCACTGCACTCCAGCCTGGGTGACAGAGCGAGACTCCATCTCGAAAAATAAAAAAAAAAAAAAAACCCACCACTCTCACTCCACGATAAAATAACCTTTGCATTATTTAAGTGGCAAGGGTAAAACTGCAATCAGGCCGGGCACGGTGGCTCATGCCTGTAATCCCAGCGCTTTGGGAGGCTGAGGCGGGTGGATCACTTGAGCTCAGGAGTTTGAGACCAGCCTGGGCAACATGGTGAAACCCCATCTCTACAACAACAACAACAAAAATTAGCTGGGCACGATGGCACACACCTGTAGTCCCAGCTACTCTGGAGCCTGAGGTACGAGTATCACTTGAACCCAGGGGGTGGAGGAGGTTGCAGTGAGCTGAGACTGCACCACTGCACTCCAGCCTGGGTGACACAGCGAGACTCTGTCTCAAAACAAAACAAAACACTGCAATCACAGAAAATACCAGAAAAAAGCATAGGTGAATGTTGAACAATTTCTAGATGGTGAAAGGATTACTCATGAAAGCAATTCAATACATCAGAAAAGGTTGCTGGGCCGGGGGCAGTGGCTCACGCCTGTAATCCCAGCACTTTGGGAGGCCGAGGCGTGTGGATCACCTGAGGTCAGGAGTTCAAGACCAGCCTGGCCAACATGGTGAGACCCTGTCTCTACTAAAAATGCAAAAATTAGCCAGGTGTGGTGGCGGGTGCCTGTAGTCCCAGCTACTCGGGAGGCTGAGGCAGGAAAATTGCTTGAACCTGGGAGGCGGAGGTTGCAGTGAACTGAGATCATGTCATTGCACTCCAGCCTGTGCAACAGAGCAAGACTACATTTCAAAAAAAAAAAAAAAAAAAGAAAGAAGAAGTTGCTGGAATTTTCTCCATACACGTAGCTTCTGAATGACAAACAATGGAACAAAAGTAAGAGGTAAGTCTGGGGAGATATCTGCCAAAAATATATACATATATGTAATACATATATTTAATATATATATTATATTTATATATGTATTATATGTAATATGTGTACATATACTTAATACATTTATTATATATAATACATATATACATTATATATATATATATATCTCAGACCTATAAAGAGCTAGTCATACGTTCTCTGCTGGATTTGTACTCAAGGACAAGCACATAATTTTTCTCTCATTGAGATTTCTCTTCCAGGGCTGTGTCTGGGCTACGAAGATGAGAAAAAGAATGGTGAGTTTTCTCCTACTTAAACTTTTATTCCTGCATCCCACGCTTCATGACCTTTTCCTTTAATCGTCTGAATTCTAGACTCAAATTAACTCTGAATTGTTTCCAGAGAAACCGCCCAAGCCCTCCCTCCACGCCTGGCCCAGCTCGGTGGTTGAAGCCGAGAGCAATGTGACCCTGAAGTGTCAGGCTCATTCCCAGAATGTGACATTTGTGCTGCGCAAGGTGAACGACTCTGGGTACAAGCAGGAACAGAGCTCGGCAGAAAACGAAGCTGAATTCCCCTTCACGGACCTGAAGCCTAAGGATGCTGGGAGGTACTTTTGTGCCTACAAGACAACAGCCTCCCATGAGTGGTCAGAAAGCAGTGAACACTTGCAGCTGGTGGTCACAGGTGAGAAGGGCAGATGTACTCTTTGATGCACACATTTCTTTGGTTTGGCTTTGCTTTTTTTTTTTTAAGACAGAGTCTTGCTGTGTCTCCCAGGCTGGAGTGCAGTGGCACGATCTCGGCTCACTGCAACTTCTGCCTCCTGGGTTCAAGCAATTCTCCCTCCTCAGCCTCCCGAGTAGCTGGGACTACAGGCGCCCGCCACCACGCCCAGCTAATTGTTTGTGTTTTTAGTAGAGATGGGGTTTCGCCATGTTAGCCAGGATGGTCTCCATCTCCTGACCTTGTGATCCACCTGCCTCCGCCTCCCAAAGTGCTGGGATTACAGGCATGAGCCACCGCGCCCGGCCTAATTTTTGTATTTTTAATAAAGATGAGGTTGTACCATATTGGTGAGGTTGATCTCAAACTCCTGACCTCAAGTGATCCATCTGCCTCGGCCTCCCAAAGGGCTGGGATTATAAACGTGAACCTCCACACCCAGCCTTTTTTTTTTTTTTGAGAGGGAGTCTTGCTCTGTTGCCCAGGCTGGAGTACAGTGGCATGATCTCAGCTCACTGCAACCCCCGCCTCCTGGGTTCATGCAATTCACCTGCCTCAGCCTCCCGAGTAGCTGGAACTACAGGGGTGCGCCACCACACCTGGCTAATTTTTGTATTTTAGTAGAGACAGGGTTTTACCATGTTGGCCAGGCTGATCTCGAACTGCTGACCTCAAGTGATCTGCCCACCTCAGCCTCCCAAAGTGCTGAGATTACAGGAGTGAGCCACTGCGCTCGGCTGCTTTTTTTTTTTTTGACAGAATCTCGCTCTGTCACCCAGGCAGGAGTGCAGTGGCATGAACACAATTCACTGCAGCCTCGACCTCCCAGGCTCAAGCGATTTTCCCACATCAGCCTCCCAAGTAGCTGGGAGTACAGGCAAGCACCACCATGCCTGGCTAATTTTTAAATTACTTGTTGAGACAGGATCTATGTTGCCCAGGCTGGTCTTGAACTCCTGAGCTCAGGTGATCCTCCTGCCTTGGCCTCCCAAAGTGCTGGGATTACAGGCGTGAGTCACCAAAGCCTGCCTGATGCACGTATTTCTTTTCCTGTCGTGGGACATGGCTGGGGAAGAAGGAATCTAGGAGACAAAAAGATAGATGCAGGCCAGGCACGGCGCGGTGGCTCATGCCTGTAATCCCAGCACTTTGGGAGGCAGAGGTGGGCAGATCACTTGAGGTCGGGAGTTCGAGACCAGCCTGGCCAACATGGTGAAACCTCACCTCTACTTAAAATACAAAAATTAGCTGGGCGTGGTGGCAGGCGCCTGTAATCCCAGCTACTAGGGAGGCTGAGGCAGGAAGAGAATCTCTTGAGCCCAGAAGGCAGAGGTTGTAATGAGCTGAGATTGTGCCACTGCACTGCAGCCTGGATGAAAGAGCAAGACTCCGTCTAAAAAAAAAAAAGAAGAAGAAGGATAGATGCAACACCTTCAATGTGGAAATGGGAACCGAATGTGGAGCAAGATTCTCATCAGAGATTCTGAGAGGGTCCCAATGATGTGGATGTGGGAGGGTGGTGTAGAATATGGTCAGTTAATAGAAAATTGGGGTATGGTAAGACTGACAGACCAAGTGATGATTGCCATGGAAAAGATGGTCTGTTACAGTTCCCAAGAGGAGGAGGAAGGCTATACTGGGGGGAGTATGTGGGGAAGCACCAGGGTCAATGAGGGGCAGAGGGAGGAGGAAGAACTGTGGACCAGAGCTTTGATTGTATTTTGTGGGGAGAACAAGATTAGAGTTGGCCAGGTGTGGTGGTTCATGCCTGTAATCCTAGCACTTTGGGAGGCCTAGGAGGGTGGATCACCTGAGGTCAGGAGTTTGACATCAGCCTGGGTAACATGGCGAAACTCCATCTCTACAAAAATACAATAATTACCTGGGTGTGGTGGTGTGCACCTGTGCTTTCAGCTACTCGGGAGGCTGAGGCACGAGAATTGCTTGAACCCCAGAGGCAGAGGCTGCGGTGAGCCAAGATCGTGCCACTGCACTCAAGCCTGGGTGATAGAATGAGAACCTGTCTCAAAAAAAAAAAAAAAAAAAAAAAAAGAAAAGAAAAGAAAAGAAAGAAAGAAAAGAAAAACAAAAAAAGAATTGGCTTTGGGGTGTAGAGGCTGTCCCTGGTTGTCTAGTTCTTGGACCTGGGGTGATTAGGAGAGGACAACATTGACCTTGAGTGTGAGAGCCCCATAATTAAGGTGGTTGAGAGTATGGGCTCTGGATCTATTGGCTTGCATTTGAGGGACATCCTTGAGGACAAGTTGTTTACTGGCTCTAGAAATTAACTAACCCTGCGAGGGGAGGTCCCACCAAGGGCAGCAAGGCCCCAAGATGTTAAAGCATCAAATGCAGAAGATGAAAGACATGGTTAATACGGAGAGATGGATGAGATAGTCCCCAAGTGCAGTAGAAAATGGAAAAGCCCTGGCCCTTCTCTTTACCTCCATTGCCTTGTCCTCTTCAGGATCACTCCCAGAACCTTTGCTCTCAGTCAATGTAGACCCTGGGATGACTCCAGGTCTCAGGACACTTCGATGTCTCACTCCATACAATGGAACCGAATGTATTGTAATTGCTCTGTTGAAAATGGGGATCCCAGAACCATTACAAGTCAGGCAAGTAAGAAAAAACCAGACTGATTTCATGCTCTGGAACGTGACAAGTAATGACAGTGGAAACTACAGCTGTGTGTATTACCTGAGCAACTCATCACACTTGGCCTCCTTCCCCAGCAACAAGCTGGAGATCTGGGTGACAGGTGAGGATAGAGTGATAACACTGGCATTTGACATGTATCCAGCATTTTCTATGTTCCTGTCTCCACGACAGGTAACTTGCCTCCACTAACTCATTCAGTCTTCACTTCCTATGAGGGTGGTTGTGTTACTAACTTCTTTTTGCTCATAGAGATTAGGTGACCTCCCCGGTGTCACAAAAACAATGAGCTTCACAGTTGCTATTCAGACATAAATGAAAATTTATATTTCATTATGCCAGAGAAGGAAAGCCAGAAAGAGTGTCCAGTGCTCTATGAGGGATGTAGGAATGGCAAATAATGGATTGTGGGGCTAAGAGATCCCATTGTGTGGAAAAGTATGGGAGGCACGGTGCAGGTAACTGAAAAAAAAATGATGAGGACCACAGTGAGAAGATGCACGTGGGAGGATTGTAACATACATGACTTGAGATCCCAAGGAAGAGGGATAAAGAATAATTTTGCATCACTTTCATCTACCCATTTATCTACTCACCCATCCATCTATCAATCTACCCACCCATCTATCAACCCACCCACCCATCTACCCACCTACCAACCCATCCACCCTCCTACCCACTCATTCACCCATCCATCCACTCACTTATCCATCTATCCATCAACTCATCCATCCATCCATCCATCCATCCATCCATCCATTCATCTATCCATTAATCCATCCAACCACCAACCCTTCCATTCATCTGTCCACCCACCCCTTCATCCATCTATCTACCTACCTACCCATCTATTTACCCAGCCACTCATTTGTCCATCCTTCCACCCATTCATCCACTCATCCACCCTTTCACCCATTCACTCACCCCCACCCACCTATCCATCTATCCATCCATCCATCCATCCATCCATCCATTCATCCATTCATTTATTAGTCACTAAACAATACCTCTCAACTGACCACAGTTGCTTCCAGTAGGTCAGTCCTGCCATATCATGGGAAATCCCTGGAGAGACTTTACAGTCATCAGTGTAGTGTAGAAGTAGCCGTGGGTCCACACCAATGACTTAGCCTGGGCTTGGGGCATGATGAGTAACTGAATACTTAATGTTTCACCTCTGATTTACCCTCTTTCTGAGGCTCTTGATCAATGATACTCCAACAAGGTGCTCATCACTTTGATATTGATTTCAAATTGTATTCCCCATAACTCGTTCTTGTAGTCTTAAGAATTTCTGCACCCACACTTTAGCCCTAAAAGCCTCGCGATTATTTGCCATTTCCCAATTATGTTCTCTGGCATATCATCTACTGTTTCCTGATTTCTTCACCTCTATCGCAGCTGTACCATTACATCACAAGACAGGCTATAGTATCAATTTCCAGTGGTTGATTTTCCAGGTCAGCCTTCCATATACAATCTGTTTGCTGCTTTGCAAATCACTTTATTATACTACTTTTTACTTTTTTATTATACTACTTTTTACTTATTACAAAATGGGCATATAAATGCTTCCATTACAAAAAAAAATTAATGCAAAATACCTGGCACAAAAATAGCTGCCCATTCACCCTACAAATTCAGATACTTTGGTAGATCCTGAGCATATTGTAGGAACTGAGACAGACCAGGTCTCTGGCCAACAGGAGCTCACATTCTTCTTTGGAAGAAAGAAAGAAATAAGAGCAAGCTATCAGAGTAATTAAAAAACACATTATAGATGGAGAATAACTGTGAGAGGCATTGTATTAGTGATCTACAGCTGCATAACAAATTACCACTAATTTAGCAGCCTGAAACACCTATTTATTATCTCACAGTTGATGTGGGTCAGGAGTCCAGGCACAGCTTAGCTGAGTCCTCTGCTTTGGGTCTCATAAGGATGCAATCAAGGTGTCAACAAGGGCTGTGTTCTCATCTGGCTCATCTGGAGGCTTGACTGGGGAAGGGTCCATTTCTCCACTCCTGTGGTTGATAGCAATATCTGGTTCTTTATAGCTGTAGGATTCATGCTAGAATGATTCTGCAGCACTTGCAAGAAGAGAGATTGAGAGAGAGAGAAGAAAGAGAGAGCAAATGCCCTAGCAAACAGAGTTTTATGTAATGTAACATAATCAAGAGCATAACATCCCATCACCTTTGCCATAGCTATTGGTGAGAAGAAAGTCACAGATCTCCACACTCAAGGTGAGGGGATTAGACAAAGGCATGAACACCAGGAAGCAGGGCTCCTGAGTCTCCTGAGTGCCCCCTTAGGGTCTATCTGCCACAAGCATGAAGGATGAGAATGACCCAACCACACCGATATCTGGAGAACAGCCCTCCAGGGAGAGAGAGCAGCAAAAGCAAAGTCTCAGAAGTGTGAGTGTTCCTGGAATGATTGAGACACAGAAAGGAGGACATAAGGCAGGGCCTAGAGCATCTAGGATCTTGTGGGTGTTTGAACTGGTCCTAGAGTCTGCTTTGAAAGAACAGGAACCCACTGATGAAGTTGAGCTGGAGGATGGCATGATTTTATTTATATGCTGGAAGGGTCACTGGCTGCTTTTTTTTTTTTTTTTTTTTTTGAGACAGGGTCCCACTCGGTTGCCCAGGCTGGAGTGCAGTGGTGCAATCACAGCTCACTGCAGCCTTGACCTCCCAGGCCCAGGTAATCCTCCCACCTCAGCCTCCCAAGCATCTGAGATTACAGGCACAGGCCATCATGCCCGGCCTCTGGCTGCTTTTGGAAAATAAGGGACTAGATGTAGTAAGAGTTGGTGCGTTTCAGGCAATACGACTTTTTAAATTTAAAAATATCAAATTGACAAATGAAGATTGTATATATTCAAGGTATACAATCTGATGATTTGATCCACCTGTACATTGTGTAATGATTATCACAGTCAAATTAATTAGCACATCCATTGCCACCATGCTGAGCACCTGAACTTCTTCATCTTAGAACTGGAAACTTATACCCTTTCATCAACATCTCCGCATATATCATGCTAAACAAAATAAGCCAGACTCAGAAAGACAAATTCTGCAGGATCTCACTCATATGTGTAGTCTAAAAAAGCCAAACTCACAGAAGCAACTGGTGGTTGCCAGGGACTGGTGAGTAGGTGATATTTCATTTCATTTTTATTTTTATTTTTATTTTTTTTTTGAGACGGAGTCTGGCTCTGTCCCTCAGGCTGGAGTGCAGTGGCGCGATCTCGGCTCACTGCAAGCTCCGCCTCCCGGGTTCACGCCATTCTCCTGCCTCAGCCTCCCGAGTAGCTGGGACTACAGGGGCCCGCCACCACGCTCGGCTAACTTTTTGTATTTTTAGTAGAGACGGGGTTTCACCATGTTAGCCAGGATGGTCTCGATCTCCTGACCTTGTGATCTGCCCGCCTCGGCCTCCCAAAGTGCTGGGATTACAGGCGTGAGCCACTGCGCCCGGCCAAGTAGGTGATATTTTAACTTAGACTAAATGGTGCCACTGTGGAGATAGAAATATAGGCCAGGTGCAGTGGCTCATGCCTGGAATCCCAGTATTCTGAGTGGCCAAGGCAGGTTGATCACTTGAGGCCAGGAGTTTGAGACCAGCCTGGCCAACATGGTGAAACCCTGTCTCTACTAAAAATACAAAAATTAGCAGGGTGTGGTGGCGGGCGCCTGTAGTCCCAGCTACTTGGAAGGCTGAGGCAGGAGAATCTCTTGAACCCGGGAGGCGGAGGTTGCAGTGAGCTGAGATCATGCCACTGCACTCCAGCTTGGGTAACAGTGCAAGACTCAAAAAAAATAAAAGAAAGAAAGAATTTGGGTGAATGGTGTTCTTTGTCAAGATAGAGAAGACTGGCAAGGAATCAAACTGGAGGGGGCGTTAGCAGGGTCATTCATAAATATTTTTGTTATTAAAAATACTATCAAACTCCAGGACTATTAAGAAGAGTAATCTGAGGCTCTGTCCATGCTCTGAGGACCCAGGGAGCATCTAGGGAATGGAGAAGCCATTCTCTTTTCTGCTTCCCAAAGAAGAACAGGATGTCTATAAGTAGGACGTGAGGACTCCTGTCCCCAAGGTTCCTGTATGATTAGTGTAATTCCTTTTCTTCCCTCCTATTTTCTAGATAAACACGATGAACTTGAAGCTCCCTCAATGAAAACAGGTAAGATAATTAGAAAGGAGATGTTTTTCCCAATGAGATCTGCTTCATGATCACCTTTGCTTAAAGTGCACAAGGAGAACTTTATTTATTTGTTTGTTTGTTTGTTTGTTTGTTTTTTGAGATAGAGTCTCGCTTTGTCACCAAGGCTGGAGTACAGTGGCGCAATCTCAGCTCACTGCAACCTTCGCCTCCCGGATTCAAGCAATTTTCCTGCCTCAGCCTCCCGAATAGCTGGGACTACAGGCACGCACCACCACACCCAGCTAATTTTTGTATTTTTAGTAGAGACGGGGTTTCACCATGTTGGCCAGGCTGGTCTCGAACTCCTGACCTTGTGATCTGCCCGCCTCAGCCTCCCAAAGTGCTGGGATTACAGGCGTGAGCCACCGCACACGGCCTATTTATTTTTTTGAGAAAGAGTCTTGTTCTGTCCCCCAGGGTGGCGTGAAGTGGCACAATCTCAGCTCACTGCAACCTCCACTTCCTGGGTTCTGGGTTCAAGCAATTCTCCTGCCTCGGCCTCCCGAATAGCTGGGATTACAGGCACCCACCACCATATCCAGCTCAGTTTTGTTTTTTGTTTTTTGTTTTTAGTAGAGATGGGGTTTCACCATGTTGGCCAGGCTGGTATCAAACTCCTGACCTCAAGCAATTCCCCCGCCTCGGCCTCTCAAAGTGTTGGGATTACAGGCATGAGCCACCGCACCCGGCCTAGAAGAACTTTAAAGCCCATTTTCTCAATGTTATTGGGGAAACTGCTGTGTTTTGGGGGGTGGAGGATGAGGGGAGATAACCTCTAAAGTGCTTCCGGGTTCTGAAGAAGCTGGTGTGTAAAACAGCACAGAGTGCGTTGTTTGCCATATGACATGATGAAAAACTAGGGTGGGATTTGGGGAATAATGGGGGTGAATTTTTCAGTGACCCATTTGGGGAGTAGGACCAGGACCTACGCAGAGTAGGTACTTCAGGAATATATATAATCAAGAGTTTGTTATAACTCTAAAATTCTCAAAAATAGGTGAATATTGAATTTTTTTTCTAATGTTGCTTATTCATTAACAATTGACTAAGATTCTGTCCTCAGAGTTTCTCATAAAAATTAGAGCTTTTGGGCCAGGCGAGGTGGCTCACATCTGTAATCCCAGCACTTTGGGAGGCCGAGGTGGGCGGATCACCTGAGGTCAGGAGTTCGAAACCAGCCTGGGCAACATGGTGAAACCCTGTCTCTACTAAAAATACAAAAATTTGCTGGGCATTGTGGTGGGCGCCTGTATTCCCAGCTACTCAAGTGACTGAGGCAGGAGAATTGCTTGAACCTGGGAGGCAGAGGTTGCAGTGAGCCGAGATTACACCACTGCCCTCCAGCCTGGGCAACAGAGTGAGACTCTGTCTCCAAAAAAAAAAAAAAAAAAAAAAAATTAAAAAGTTAGAGCTTTTGGCAGCATTCGGCTGAAACAGGAACTCATCCAGACTTTAAGGGCCAAATGCAGAATATAAATTGGCATCTAGATGCTTAATCATCCTTCCTTTCAGCAAGTCATAATCTTCCTGCAACCTACTCCAAAGAGCCAAAGTTGCTGAAGGTTGTTGCTAGCAGTCTGTGCTGGTATAATCGGTTTTCAAAAAGGTATCCTCCAAAGTGTTCTTGCAAGATAACTATTTGAAACGTTTTTATTCCATGATAGTAGGCTTGGGAAATGTCTGCTACCCTAGCACTACGAACACAATTCACGTCAGGAACGTTTTCTGAGAAAGATATGAAATCTAATGGGAGAGAGGAACACAGAAGTATCAGAAACGAGGTGGGAGATCTAGTGAGGTGTGAGGGGGAGGAGGAAGAGAAGCTTTTCTATTTTGAGCTCTTGTATCATTTATTTTCTTTCTTTTTTTATTGATATATAATTCACAGTCCAAAAATTCACCCTTGTAAAGTGTCCAATTCACTGGCATTTTGTATCTTCATGAGGTAGTATAACCATCACCACTACATAATTCCAGAACATTCTCATCACCCTAAAAGAAAATCTTGTACCCATTAAGCAGTCACTCCTCATTTCCCACTTTCCCACCAGGCCCTTCCAACCATTCATATGCTTCTCTGTGTCTATGATTTTGTCTATTCTGGACATTTTGTGTAAGTGGATTCATACACTATGTGATCCTTTGTGACTAGCTCCTTTCTCTTTAGCATAATGTTTTCAAAGTTTGTCTGTACTGTAGCATGCATCAATGTTTCATTTCTTGTCATGGTGAAAAGCATCGTATTGTATGGATAGACCACATTTTGCTTATCCATTCTTTTTTTTGTTTTTGTTTTTGTTTTTTTGAGACGGAGTCTTGCTCTGTCGCCCAGGCTGGAGTGCAGTGGCACAATCTCAGCTCACTGCAACCTCCGCCTCCCAGGTTTAAGTGATTCTTTTGCCTTAACCTCCTGAGTAGCTGGACCTACAGGCGCCCGTCACCATGCCTAGCTAATTTGTGTATTTTTAGTAGAGAGGGGGTTTCACCATGTTGGCTAGGCTGGTCTCGAACTCCTGACCTCAGGTGATCCACACGCCTCAGCTTCCCAAAGTGCTGGGATTACAGACTTGAGCTACTGTGCCTGGCCCCGTTCTTCTTTTGATGGACATTTGTGTTGTCTGCACCTCTTGGCTAAAGCGAGTAATGGTGCTGGAACACTGTGGTAGGAGTATCTGTTTGTCTCCGCGCTGTAAATTATCTTGAGTATGTACCTAGAAGTGGATTTGCTAGGACATATGGTGACTATTATGTTCAACTTTTTGAGGAACTGCCAAATCATTTTCCATTGTGGCTGTATCATGTTATATTCCTTCCAGTAATATATGTGGGTTCCAATATCTCCACATCCTTGTCAACACTTACTTTTCTTTTTTTAAATTATAGCCATCCCAGTGGGTATTATATAATTTCTTAAAATGTACTTTTTGAGTTCAAATTTGTATCATCACAATTCTAAACAGAATAAAATATCTTTGCCGGGCGCAGTGGCTCACGTCTGTAATACCAGGACTTTGGGAAGATGAGGCAGGAGGATCACTTGAGCCCAGGGGTTCAAGACCAGCCTGGACAACTTGGTAAGATCCCATCTCTACAAAAAATACAAAAATTAGCCAGGCGTGGTGGTGTGCACCTGTAGTCCCAGCTACTTGGGAGGCTCAGGCAGAAAGATCGTTTGCGCCCAGGAGGTTGAGGCTTCAGTGAACTGTGATTGCGCCACAGCACTCCAGCCTGGGTGACAGAGCGAGACCCTGTTTCAGTAAATAAATAAAATAAAAGTAAAATATCTGTAAGCACAGGTATGATGTCCCCAGCCTGTATTTATATGCCTAAAACACACTAGAAAACGACTCTATGTTCAATCGCAATGTAGAGAATGAAGATGAATTTTATCACACAAGACTTGACTTTCTTTCTGGTGCCTGTGCCTCCATTTATGCCCCGTGTCAGGCTGTATCTTGTTGCTCACGCTGACTTTAGTAGCGTAGCAAGTTATGATTTATTCTGGCAATTTGCAAATACTGATGCAACATTTGGCCAGGATCTGTGGACATCTCAGGGTGAACCCAGTTCAGCTGATTATGGGGTCATATGAAGATGAGAATTTTGCAATAATGTACTTCTCATTTCTAGTGAATTGCTGTGTGAAAGATACCGTAGGCTGGAAAAGGGGAGAACAGAAAGGACAAGGCAAGGCTGCTGTTTCTCTGCTTCCATCTGGGGAAACTGAGAGTCCAGGAGCAGCTGTTCCTGCCCTGTTTTCATAAGTCCTTGGAGATGCACTGATAGAATTGTTGCTTATGGCCAGGCATGGTGGCTTATGTAATCCCAGCACTTTGGGAGGCCAAAGTGGGCAGAACACTTGAGCTCTGGAGTTTGAGACCAGCCTAACCAACATGGTGAAACCTCATCTCTACTAGAAATATAAAAAATTAGCGGGGTGAGGTGGCGGGTGCTTGTAATCCCAGCTCCTTGGGAGGCTGAGGCAGGAGAATTGCTTGAACCCCAGAGGGGGAGGTTCCAAAGCCGAGATTGTACCACTGCACTCCAGCCTGGGAGACAGAGTGAGACTGTCTCAAAAAAAAAAAAATTGTTGCTTTTGAGGGGTTCTCTGATTCAGCTCCACCAGAAGCAGGCTCTTAGACAGCATTAGTGTGAAAGTGACGTTTTATTTTATTTATTATTTATTTAGTTTTGAGACAGAGTTTCGCTCTTGTTGCCCAGGCTGGAGTGCAATGGCGTGATCTTGGCTCACTGCAACCTCCGCCTACCAGGTTCAAGAGATTCTCCTGCCTCAGCCTCCCAAATAGCTGGGATTACAGGCATGCACCACCACACCCAGCTAATATTCTATTTTTAGTAGAGACGGGGTTTCTCCATGTTGGTCAGGCTGGTCTCGAACTCCTGACCTCAGGTGCTCTGCCTGCCTCGACCTCCCAAAGTGCTGGGATTACAGGTGTGAGCCACCACGCCTGGCTTGAAAATTACATTTTAGGGAGTGGGGAAGAAGGGCTGGGAGGAAAATAGATTAAACAAGTGTGGGATATCTGTGTCCCTCAGATGGTATCTTTGGCTCCATCCTGCAGAAAGCAGTGGAGACAGAGAAGGTCGAAGACCAGAGGCTAGGGAGCTGGGGTCCCCACAGCCGTCAGTGGCAGTTTGTCCCGGGCATGTAAATTCCAAGGCATTTGGAGTTCTCCCAGGCAGTCCCCCAAAGAAGAGATACAAATGTTCACTTTGGAAAGGGAAAGAAGCCACGATCTAGAATGCATAAAAATGGGAAAGGGATCTGGGGAACATGGGTTGAGGAACATTGACAGAATCTATTACAGAGAGAGATGGGTGTAGGTGGAATATTGGGTGAAAAAAAATCATCATTATACCTACAATCCCATTATCCGACACAATGAGTCAGTTTCTAGACTGAGCGCTTTAAAGCCAGGATTTTTCATCATTACCTAACTCTTCAAGTTAGATATTATTAGCTCTCTGCCCCCTCCTTATATTTAACCAAAAAATAACGTATTCCAGAAAGGGAAGGGAACATTTACAAAGTCAGGAGGTAGGAGACCCAGTACTAGAACTCAAATATGTCTTGTTTCAAACTCCCCACTCCTTTTGCTGCTCCCTGATGATCAGCTCAGAAAGAACCTTATTTCAGGGAGGGGGATAGATAGATAATTAGATGTGATAGATAATAGGCAAGTAGGCAGATAAATAGATAACTAGATATGATAGATTAGATAGATACATAGATGATAGGTAGATAAGTAGCTAGATACGATGGACAGATTAGATAGATAGACAGATGATAGGTAAGTAGGTAGATAGATAACTAGATACAACAGGTTAGATAAGTAAGTAGATAGATAACTAGATATGATAGATTAGATAGATAAATAGACGATAGGTAAGTAGGTAGATAGATACAGATAGATTAGCTAGCTAGCTAGATGATAGATAACTAGATATAATAGATAAGATAGATGATTAGATAGACAGATAATTAGATATGATTGATAGATACATTAGATAGATGATAGATTAGATAGATAGATGATAGGTAACTAGGTAGCTAGATAAAGCTAGCTAGATAGATAGATAGATATACAGATACACAGATAGATACATAGATACCTAGATAGGTGATAGAGTTGCAAGATAGAAAAATTAGATAAGTAGGTGGATAGATAGATAGATAACTAGATAGAATAGATTAAATAGATAATAGTAGGTGAATAGACAGATACATACAGATGATAGATGATAGATGATAGATAACTGGTTATGATTGATAGATACATTAGATAGATGATAGATTTGGTAACTAGATGATAGGTAAGTCGGTAGATAGATAAGTGATAATTAGATATGATAGGATGGATAGATTAGACAGACAGCAGGTAAGCAGGTGGATAGACAGATAAAGATAGATACATAGATGCCTAGATAAGTGATAGATTAACAAGATAGAAAAATTAGACAGACAGATAGTTAATTACATATGATAGGATAGATAGATTGGATAGGTGATAGGCAAGTAGGTAGATAGATAAATCATAATTAGATAGGACGGATAGATTGGATAGATGATAGGTAAGTAGGTACAGAGACAGATAAAGATAGATAGGTAGATAGATAATAGATACCTAGACAGATGGTAGATAGATTAGCGAGATAGATAAATTAGATAGGTAATTCTCTATATATAGATATGTAGAAATGCCAATGCAAACATAGCGAACCAAGTAGGGGAAGCGTCTGGATGGGAGACCCTCTGTTGGTGCAGAGGACCAGGCGTGTGAAGCATCTCAGACTTGGCTCTGTAATGTGACCACAGATCATTGCACACCTAGGAAAAATTCTCAGACTCAAAGCACACTAACAAAGATAGCGGGGGTCTTGGTGAAGCCCCTTTCTGGGGCCTCACTTCTATAGTTGCTCAACTTTTTTCCTTAATCACGTTTCTGCTACTTACTCCTTAAAGTCTCACGACTTGTGTTTCTTGAATCTAAAGTGCCAAGAAAAACAAAAAACGGGGGGGAACTGCATGGACTCTGTCGCCTAGCTTTAGTAACAGGTTGCTCTCTCTTCCTCAACGCTGTGAGCTTTGGACACAACCCTTGCTGTAATCCCAGGAGTCACACGGGAATGCATGCCCTTCACCAGTGGGAGGGAAATAATTGTACTACCTTGCAGGGTTGTTGTTAAGACTTTAAAACGCTATGATGTAGACTTGCATGGCAATATTGCTCAAGAACTAGTTTTTTTTGTTTTGTTTTGTTTTTGTTTTTTAATTGGTAGAAATTTTATCTCCTGAGAGGGATGCTTTTTTGAGTTGGAGTCTTGGTCAGTTGAGTGTATGATGCAGTGATGCGATCTCGGCTCACTGCAACCTCCGCCTCCCAGGTTCAAGCAATTCTCTTCTCTCAGCCTCCTGAGTAGCTGGGACTACAGGCGTGCGCCACCATGCCCAGCTTATTTTTTATATTTTCAGTAGAGACAGGGTTTCACCATGTTGGCCAGGCTGGTCTCGAACTCCAGACCTCAAGTGATCCACCTACTTCACTCTCCCAAAGTGCCAGGATTACAGGCGTGAGCCACCGTGCCCGGCCACTGGTCATTCTTTTCTACCCTGCTCTAACCCTGTTCTTATTAGGAATCCTCCCTGAATTCTCCCAGCTGATCCCTTGTTCTGTGTCTTGGGGAATCATGTCTCCTTCAGAGAGCCCCACCCCTCCCCACTCTAAACGCCTTCCATGCCCGTGTCACTGCTGTTCATTACCTGGCATCAACGAGCTCATTGAAGTGTGTTTGAAGTTGGCTGGGCGTGGTGGTCTGTACTCCCAGCTACCCTGGAGGCCGAGTGAGGAGGACCACTTGAGCCCAGGAATTCGAGTATGATCACACCACTGCACTCTAGCCTGGGCAACAATGGGAACCCATTGGCACATCTGGGATTGGCATCCTGAGCTCCCATCTGTGACCTCCCTCCTCTCCCCTCCTCTCCCCTCCATTGCCCTCACCCTCTCCCCATAATCTTCACATCCCGTCCTTTCACATCTCTCTCTCTCCTTTAAAAAAAGAAAAAGGAAATATGTTTGAAGTTAAGAGCTGAGATCATGTCTGTGTTAGCCAGGGTTTTCCAGAAAAACAGAACCAATAGAACATATAGATATAAGCTGGGTGTGGTGGCTCACGCCTGTAATCCCAGCACTTTGGGAGGCCGAGGCAGGCAGATTGCCTGAGGTCAGTAGTTCAAGACCAGCGTGGCCAACATGGCGAAACCCCGTCTCTACTAAAAATACAAAAATTAGCCGGGCGTGATGGTGGGCACCTGTAATCCCAGCTACTCAGGAGGCTAAGGCAGGAGAATTGCTTGAACCCGGGAGGCGGAGCTTGCAGTGAGCCAAGATTGCACTATTGCACTCCAGCCTGGACGATAAGAGTGAGACTTTGTCTCAAAAAAAAAAAAGAGAACATATACATGTATATACATATATGGAGAGAGAGATTGATTTTAATGGATTGGTTCACGTGATTGTGGGGAGCTGGCAAGTCTGAAATCTGCAGGGCAGGCAGGCAGGGGATCCAGGGGAGACTTGATATTGCAGCTTGAGTCTGGAGGCAGAATTCCTTCCACCTTGGGGGACCTCAGTCTTTTCTCTTAAAGTCTTAAAGTCTTCAACTGATTGGATGAGGCCCACCCCTATGACAGTGGGTCATCTGCTTTACTCAAAGTCTATTGGTCGAAATGTCCAGCTCCAAGGAAGTTCCAGCTCCAAGGTGGGAGATCCAGGCTTGGAAGCCAGGCCATCTGTCTGGCTTCTCTTAGCTTTTCTACTCACCCCATCAGTGGATTTCAGACAGTGATTACACAGACAGATGTGGTGGCTCACGCCTGTAATCCCAACTACTCAGGAGGCTGAGTCAGGAGAATTGTTTGAACCAGGGAGGTGGAGGTTGCAGTGAGCCAGGATCACACTCCAGCCTGGGTGACAGAACACGACTCCATCTCAAAAAAAAAAAAGTGTGTATATATATATATATATGTATATATATATATATATATATATATATATATACACATTTATATATACACACACATATATATACATTTATATATATATATACACACACACACACGTATATATATATATGGAGCACCTGGAACAGAGCTGGCTCACAATAAATGATCAATATCATTGCTATGCACCAAACATTCCCTGGGAATTTTTGGAATTTCCTATGCGCCAAGCACTGTTCCAGCCCTTTCTATAGGTACTGACCCACCATCCAATAAAGTAGCTACTGCTGCTATCCTCACTTTACAGATGGGGAAACAGAAGCTTGGAGAAGATTAAGGAAATTCCCCAAAGCAATAGGAAGTTCCAGCTCCGAGGTGGGAGATCCAGGCTTGGAAGCCAGGCCATCTGTCTGGCTTCTCTTAGCTTTTCGGCTCGCCCCTATCAGTGGATTTCAGGAGCCAGGCTGATTCCCTGACCTGCTCTTCCCCCTCCAGACACCAGAACCATCTTTGTCGCCATCTTCAGCTGCATCTCCATCCTTCTCCTCTTCCTCTCAGTCTTCATCATCTACAGATGCAGCCAGCACAGTGAGCTCAGAGAACGCAAAGGGAGAGAGGGGGAGTGAAGGATTTTCTCGGTAGGTAAATTCCTCCTGCATTTTTTGTAGGTTCATCATCTGAGGAATCCACCAAGAGGTAGATGCTTGGCATAGCTCATGCTCCACTTATTCCCATGTCATTCTCAAGGGAACCCATTGGCACATCCGGGATTGGCACCCTGAGCCCCCACCCCAGCCCATTCTGTGACCTTCCTCCTCTCCCTTCTTCTCCCTTCCTCTCCCCTCCATTGCCCTCACCCTCTCCCCGAAATCTTCACATCCCATCCTTTCACGTGTGTCTCTCTCTTTCAGAACCAGCCATTCCAAACTTCCGGAGCAGGAGGCTGCCGGTAAGGGACAGGGGAAGTTTAAGGGAATCACCGGATAGAAAGACTAAGTTCTGACTTCTGCAGCTGAGAACTGATTTTTTTTTTTCCTTTCTCACTCAGAGGCAGATTTATCCAATATGGAAAGGGTATCTCTCTCGGTGAGTCCTCCCGCTTAGGAGTCCCACAAGAGCTCCCTCACCACAATGGGCTGGTCGTGTGTGCCTCCTGGTTAAGCCCATACAGAAATGTATACTGTTTATCACGCATGTGGTCTTAGACAAGTCACGAAACTCCCCTAATGGGAACCAAAATCTCCATTTAAAAGGCTTATGCATGGGCCGGGCGCGGTGGCTCACGCCTGTAATCCCAGCACTTTGGGAGGCCGAGGCGGGCGGATCATGAGGTCAGGAGATCGAGACCATCCTGGTTAACATGGTGAAACCCCATCTCTACTAAAGATACAAAAAATTAGCTGGGCGTGGTAGTGGGCGCCTGTAATCCCAGCTACTCAGGAGGCTGAGCCAGGAGAATGGCTTGAACCCGGGAGGCGGAGGTTGCAGTGAGCCGAGATCACGCCACCGCACTCCAGCCTGGGCGACAGAGCCAGACTCTGTCCCAAAATAAATAAATAAATAAAAATTTAAAAAAAATGAAAAAAGGCTTACGCAGATCCATTGATGTCACAGGCATAAAGGGTTATAAAAACAGAAAAGAAAAAGAAATGCATCTGGTGTGACCGAGGACCTGGGTTTTAAATTAAATTTAATTGTAATTAACTTAAATGTCAATAGCCATGTGTGGCTAGTGGCTGCCATATTGAACACTCAGTTCTAATATTCATCTATTTTCTCCAAAGACGGCAGACCCCCAAGGAGTGACCTATGCTGAGCTAAGCACCAGCGCCCTGTCTGAGGCAGCTTCAGACACCACCCAGGAGCCCCCAGGATCTCATGAATATGCGGCACTGAAAGTGTAGCAAGAAGACAGCCCTGGCCACTAAAGGAGGGGGGATCGTGCTGGCCAAGGTTATCGGAAATCTGGAGATGCAGATACTGTGTTTCCTTGCTCTTCGTCCATATCAATAAAATTAAGTTTCTCGTCTTAAAAAGAAATCTGACTTATTTATGGATTATTCATGCCCAAGAACCCCACCATACTCTTTCTACCCCACATTTCCTCCTAGAACAATTCAAGGAAATAATAAATAATGATTGACCAGCTATCCAGGAAAGAATGTAAGAATTACTGAGCATCTCCAGGAAGCACAACAAGCAAAAAAGAAAACGGCCGGGCTCACGCCTGTCATCCCAGCACTTTGGGAGGCCGAGGTGGGTGGATCATCTGAGGTCAGAGTTCAAGACCAGCCTGACCAACATGGTGAAATCCCATCTCTACTAAAAATAAAAAATTAGTTGGACGTGGTGGCAGGCGCCTGTAATCCCCGCTACTTGGGAGACTGAGGCAGAAGAATCGCTTGAACCCAGGAGGCAGAGATTGCAGTGAGCTGAGATGGCGCCATTGAATTCCAGCCTGGGCAATGGAGTGAGACTCCATCTCAAAAAAAAAAAAAAAAAAAAACAAAAAACGCCCAGAGCTGCAAACTCCTAGACCAGAGGGCAGAAAACAAAAGGACCAGAGAGTAACACGTCCAGCTTTGTGGGCTGTAGGATCTCTGCTGAGACTACCCCACTCTGCTGTTGTACCATGAAAGCAGCCATCGCTGATATGTAAACAAGTAGGTGTGGCGGTGTTAGAATAAAACTTTATTTACAACTTCATGTTCTCACTCATGTAGGAGCTAAAAAAGTAGATCTCATGAAGGTAAAGAGAGAGTCAGTTATCAAAGGCTAGAAGGGGTGGGATAGTTAATGGGCACAAACACAGTTGGATAGAAGGAATAAGTTCAAGTGTTCAATAGCACAGAAGGGTGACTATAGTTAACAGCAATATATTGTATATTTCAAAATAGCTAGAAGAGAAGATTTGAAACATTCCCAACACAAACGATAAATGAGCCAGGTGCAGTGGCTCACTCCTGTAATCCCAACACTTTGAGAGGCCAAGATGGGTGGATCACCTGAGGTCAGGAGTTCAAGACCAGCCTGGCCAACAAGGTGAAACCCCATCTCCACTAAAAATACAAAAATTAGCTGGGTGTGGTGGCGCACACCTGTAATCCCAGCCACTTGGGAGGCTGAGGCAGAAGAATTGCTTGAACTCGGGAGGCAGAGGTTGCAGTGAGCCAAGATCACACCACTGTACTCCAGCCTGGGCGACAGAGAGAGACTCTGTCTCGAAAAGATAAAAAAAAAGATAAATGTTTGAGGTGGTGAATATCCTAAATACCCTAATTTGAGTATTATACATTCTGTGCATGTATCAAACTATCACATGTATGTCATAAATATGCATAAATATTATGTATCTATAGAAAGTTTTTTTTTTTTTGATGGAGTCTTGCTCTGTCGCCCAGGCGCCAGAGTGCAGTGGCGTGATCTCAGCTCGCTGCAACCTCTCCCCGCAGGTTCAAATGATTCTCCTGTCTCAGCCTCCTGAGTAGCTGGGATTACAAGCTTCTGCCATCACACCAGGCTAATTTTTTTGTATTTTTAGTAGAGATGGGGTTTCACCATGTTGGCCAGGCTGGTCTTGAGCTCCTGACCTCAAGTCATCCGCCTGCCTCGGCTTCCCATAGTGCTGGGATTACAGGCGTGAGCCACCGTGCCCAGCCCAGAAAGTTGTTTTAAAAACAAAAAATTTTATTTGCAAAAACAAGCTGTGGGCTCTAGCGTGCCAACCCTTGTGCTAGGCCAGTGCTTTTTAAAGTCTGCTTGGGCCATCACCCCAACCACTTCTGGCCCTGATGAGGGTCCAGGGCATGAGAGGGAAGGAGAGAGTGTCTTAGTCCATCCAGGCTGCTATCAACATACCAAAGACCTGGCAGCTTACAGACAACACATAGTTATTTCTCATGGTTCTGGAGGCTGGAAGTCCAAGACCAAAGCACTGGTAGATTCAGTGTCTGCTGAGGGCTTTTTTCCTGGTTCATAGCTGGCACCTTCTTGCTGTGTCCTTACATAGTGAAAGAGACTGGGCCGGGCGCAGTGGCTCACGCCTGTAATCTCAGGACTTTGGGAGACCGAGTGGGGGGCGGATCACCTGAGATCAGGAGTTCGAAACCAGCCTGACCAACACGGTGAAACCCCATCTCTACTAAAAATATAAAAATTAGCTGGGCGCAGTGGTGGGTGCCTGTCATCCCAGCTACTTGGGAGGCTGAGGCAGGAGAATTGCTTGCACCTGGGAGGCGGAGGTTGAAGTGAGCCGAAATCGTGCCACTGCACTCCAGCCTGAATGACAGAGCCAGACTCCATCTCAAAAAAAAAAAAAAAAAAAAGAGTGAAGGCTTAATAAGCAAAAGAAAGAGAAAAGAGAATAGTTCTCTCTTTTGCACAGAGAAGAGAGGGGTTCCCGAGTGGGACCCCTGGTTTTGTGGTGAAATGCATGGGGCTTTTATAGACAAGCTTGAGGAGGTGCTGTCTGATTTACATAGGGCCTGAGAGATTAGTCGGACCAGGTATGACGTTTGCATAGCCCCCAAAGAAGCTGGCCATCCCACCCTAATCTTTTATTACGTAGGTAGGGTCTCTGCCTGGCCGGGGCCATGTTGTCTGCTTTTTTACTGCACATGTGGGGACAAAGAAAAGGGAAGAGGGAACCTCCATGTTGAATATACCCGGCTCCCAGGCATCCGTTTTCTATTGGCACAGCTGATGCAAGATTTTAGCTTGTTTATCTATGCTTGCAGCTTGATGTTTCAGGCTGCTTTCTGTTAGAAAAGAAATTATTTGGGGGCTGCTCTTTATTAATAGGAAACCTTACTGAGGACTCTCTTACCCTCACTGTCTGCCTCAATAATTTCTTTTTAGCTCCCGTATTACAAATACCATCACCTTGGGGTTAGGTTCCAACAGCTGAATTTTGTCGGGACACAAACATTGAGTTTACAATACCCATGAAGCTGTCTCTGCTTGTATCTTGTCCTAACCAGAAGCTCCCAGGATTGCTGCATCTGAAGGAACAACCTTGATATATGGCTTGTGTCTGTGTCCCCACCCAAATCTCATCTTCAGTTGTAGCTCCCATAATTCCCATGTGTTGTGGGATGGACCCAGTGGGAGATAATTCAATCATGGGGGTGGATTCCTGCAGGGTCCTATGGGGCTTTGCAGGTGTTCTCCCCGTGTGCAGAGATAAGAGATTGTAAGAAATAAAGACACAAGACAAAGAGATAAAGAGAAAACAGCTGGGCCCGGAGGACCACAACCATCAAGACGCGGAGACCGGTAGTGGCCCATAACGGCTGGGCGCGCTGATACTTATTGCATACAAGATAAGGGGGCAGGGTAAGCAGGGTGAATCTTCGAAGTGATTGACAAGGTGAAGCAAGTCGTGTGATCACAGGAGAGGGGGCCCTTCCCTCTTAGGTAGCCGAAGCAGAGAGAGAGGGAGAAGGCAGCATACGTCAGCGTTTTCTTCCATGCACTTATAAGAAAGATCAAAGACTTTAAGACTTTCACTATTTCTTCTACCGCTATCTACTATGAACTTCAAAGAGGAGCCAGGAGTACGGGAGGAGCATGAAAGTGGACAAGGAGTGTGAGCACTGAAGCACAGCACCACAGGGAGGGGTTTAGGCCTCCGGATGACTGCGGGCAGGCCTGGATAATATCCAGCCTTCCACAAGAAGCTGGTGGAGCAGAGTGTTCCCTGACTCCTCCAAGGAAAGGAGACTCCCTTTCACCGTCTGCTAAGTAACGGGTGCCTTCCCAGACACTGGCGTTACCGCTTGACCAAGGACCCCTCAAGCGGCCCTGATGCACGCGTGACAGAGGGCTCACCTCTTGCCTTCTAGGTCACTTCTCACCATGTCCCTTCAGCACCTGACCCTATACCCGCCGGTTATTCCTAGGTTATATTAGTAATGCAGCAAAGAGTAATATTAAAAGCTAATGATTAATAATGTTTATAATAATGATTGATAATTGTCCATGATCATCTCTACATCTAATTTGTATTATGACTATTCTTATTCTATTTTCTTTATTATACTGCAACAGTTTGTGCCTTCAGTCTCTTGCCTCAGCACCTGGCTAATCCTCCACCCACACATTCCCCCATGCCGTTCTCATGGTAGTGAACAAGTCTCAGGAGAGCTGAGGTTTTTATAACGGGTTTCCCCTTTTGCTTGGCTCTCTCATTTCTCTGTCGTCTGCCACCATGTAAGATGTGCCTTTCACCTTCTGCCATGATTGTGAGGCCTCCCCAGCCATGTGGAACTGTAAGTCCGTTATACCTCTTTTTTAAAAAGTAAACTGACTGGGCGCAGTGGCTCACGCCTGTAATCCCAGCACTCTGGGAGGCCGAGGCGGGTGGATCATGAGGTCAGGAGATCGAGACCATCCTGGATAACACAGTGAAACCCCGTCTCTACTAAAAATACAAAAAATTAGCCGGGCGCGGTGGCGGGCGCCTGTAGTCCCAGCTACTCAGGAGGCTGAGGCAGGAGAATGGTGTGACCCCGGGAGGCGGAGCTTGCAGTGAGCGGAGATCGTGCCACTGCACTCCAGCCTGGGTGACAGAGTGCGTCTCAAAAAAATAAATAAATAAAAATAAAAATAAAAATAAATTACTCAGTCTCAGGTATGTCTTTATCAGCAGTGTGAAAACAGACTAACGCAAACTTCTTCGCTCCCCCTCCCCTCACTACACAGTCCCAGGTTGCAGTGTGGAGGCCACATAGGGAGTAGCAAGGTGGGGAGGAGTGTCTCTTTGTTTTCTTGCCACAGAGAGTCATTCTTTTTTAAGCTTGGGAGTTCTTGGTGGCCATCTGTCTCGCCATGTGGAGGAAGCCAGTCTTTATGGAGAAACACAAAGATGACTCAGGGAGCATCCGGGAAGCGGGAGTGAGTAACAGTGCTTTCAGCTTTTGTTTTCTTGGTTCTAATTGCTTCCAAAGCTCAGCATTCCTTCACTCCCTGCAGTTTTCTTGCCCAATCCTTCTTGAACCAAAAAAACCCAAAAAGTCCTCCTTTGATTCTAAGCTATTCTGAGAATGGATTTTGTTTTGATTGAAGGGTCCTGGCAAACATTATTAAAATGGGTGGCCCTAATGGATATCCTTTATGGACATCTATGCTGGTAGTCACACTCACTGAATTACCATAGTGAGGACTCAGCTCTGATTTTTTTTTTTTATCTTGCCCAGATTCTTATCTAAGGGGTCTGGGGTCTCATGCCCTACAAACCATAAATTCTCATCAGATGGGTTTTATTTAGCCCTATATATCGTGACTTACTTTCCAATCTGACTCTGGCATAACATTACCTAACAAAGAAGAAAATAAAAATATTTTACCCCAAAACATGTTTCTTTGCCATATTTTTAAATGGCCCTGCAAAGCTGTCCTTGGTGGGGGGGAATATTTGCATATGTAAAGGATCTCTGTTAACATTGCTAGATCTTTTTCCTCCAGGACCTCCCAATCCTGAGGAGGTTAACTGAGAATCTAGCAACTTTTGAAGGTCTGAGTAGGAAACATTTGTCATCTATTGTCTCTAAGGGCAGCCACTATAAGACTTCAAAAGAACCTTGGTCTCCACAATCTTTTATCTTAACCTGAATATTTCCTCTCTATTAATCCCAGGTCTTTAGACAAACTCAACCAATTGTCAACCAGAAAATGTTTTAATTTACCTAAAGCCTGGAAGGCCCTGCCTCCTTCAAATTGTCCAGCCTTTCTGGACCAAACCAATGTATTTCTCAAATGTGTTTGATTGATGCCTCACGCCTCCCTAAAATGTATAAAACCAAGCTGCCCCCCGACCACCTTGGGTACATGGTCTCAGGACCTCCTTAGGGCTGTGTCAGGGGCCATGGTCATTATCATATTTGGCTCAGAATAAATCTCTTCAAATATTTTATAGAGTTTGACTCTTTTTGTCAACAAGAGTAAGTCTTGATATGTGATACGATCTGAGGGAGGCTCGGATCCACAGCTGGGGTTTGGACAGCTGTAGCATCACCCTGGGAGCTCCCGCCCCAACTCGGAAGGGGCAGGGCTCCCTGCGGCTCCATAGCGTGTATAGCCCGGGCTGGGCCTCCCTGGGGCAGGTGGCGTCATGGCAGCAGCAAGCCGTCTGGAGTGGCTGCTGCCATCACCAAAGGCCCAACCTCTCAGATCACATTGGGTGTCAAGATTTAACATGAGGCCGGGCGCGGTGGCTCACGCCTGTAATCCCAGCACTTTGGGAGGCCGAGGTGGGTGGATCATGAGGTCAGGAGATCGAGACCATCCTGGCTAACATATCTCTACTATAAATACAAAAAATTAGCCAGGTGTGGTGGCGGGTGCCTGTAGTCTCAGCTACTCGGGAGGCTGAGGCAGGAAAATGGCATGAACCTGGGAGGCGGAGCTTGCAGTGAGCCGAGATCCATCATTGCACTCCAGCCTGGGTGACAGAGCAAGACTCTGTCTCAAAAAAAAAAAAAAAAAAAAAGATTTAATATGTGGCCAGGCGCGGTAGCTCACACCTGTAATCCCAACACTTTGGGAGGTCAAAGTGGGAGGATCATGGGGTCAAGAGATCGAGACCATCCTGGCCAATATGGTGAAACCCTGCCTCTACTAAAAATACAAAAATTAGCTGGGAATAGTGGCACACGCCTGTAGTCCCTGCTACTCAGGAGGCTGAGGCAGGAGAATTGCTTGAACCCAGGAGGCAGAGGTTGCAGTGAGCCGAGATCACACCATTGCACTCCAGCCTGGGCGACAGAGGGAAACTCTGTCTCAGAAAAAAAAATAGAAAAGATCTAACATATGAATCTGTGGAAAGCACCGCCATGCAGCACAGGCCCAGGATTTGAAGTAAACTGAAGAGGCTCAACACATGTGGAGGTGGCTTTGTAAATAACTTCAGGAAACTAACTGAGGGTCATGTACCAGCAGGAGCAACTTCATAAAGGGGCCATGGAGAACCTGAGTTCCTTGCTGTTAAAAAGGAATATATAAATCCTGTTAGTTCAGAGAAAGCACAGATCATCAGTCTGATGAGGATAGGGCTTAATTATGGGCTGAATTACATCTCCTCAAAATTCGTGTGCTGAATCCTAACTCCCAGTAACTCAGAATGTGACTGTATTTAGAGACAAGAGGCCGTTGTGAAAAAAGGAAATTTGGACATAAAAAAGACACTAGGGGCTACGTGTGGTGGCTCACGCCTGTAATTTCAGCACTTTGGGAAGCCCAGGTGGGCGGATCGCCTGAGGTCAGGAGTTCAAGACCAGCCTGGCCAACATGGCCAAACCCCATGTCTACTAAAAATACAAAAATTAGCTGGGCGCGGTGGTGCACGCCTGTAATCCCAGCTACTCGATAGGCTGAGGCAGGGGAATCGCTTGAATCCAGGAGGCAGAGGCTGCAGTGAGCTGAGATCGTGTCATTGCACTCCAGCTGGGCAACAGAGTAAGACTCCAACTCAAAAAAAAAAAAAAGAAAAGGACACCAGGATATGTACATCCAGAGGAAAGACCACGTGGAGACACAGCAAGAAGGCGGCCATCTGCATACAAAGCAGAGAGACCCCGGGAGAAACTGACCCTACTGGCACCTCCATCTTGGATTTCCAGCCTGCAGAACGGTGAGAAAATCCATTTCTGTCCCATAAGCCCCCCAGTGGGGGGCATTTTGTTATGGCTTCCCTAGCACACAACTGTAGGTGGTAAACATATTTTAAACATTATAGTGATCATTTGTAAAAAAAAAAAAAAAAAAAAATTCAAAGAAATATATTTTCTACAGCTTCTCTTTATGATACCCTATGTTCCAAAGGCTACCTATTGTATTTTCTAGAAGACTATAAGAATTTTTCACACATGCTGGGGCCTGTCAGAGGGTGGAGGGTGGTAGCAGAGAGAGGATCAGGAAAAATAACTAGTGGGTACTAGGCTTAATAACTGGGTGATAAAATAATCTGATAATCAGGAAGTAGTAAATACACTAGAAAAAAAATAATCTGTACAACAAACCCCCATGACACACGTTTACCCGTGTAACAAACCTGCACATCCTGCCCATGTACCCCTGAACTTAAATGTCAAAAAAAAAAAAAGAATTTTTCTAGTATCATGCCAGGCTCTGTGGTTCATGCCTGTAATCCCAGCACTTTGGGAGGCTGAGGCAAGTTGATTGCTTGAGCATAGGAGTTCGAGACCAGCCTGGGGAAAATGGTAAAACCCTGTCTATACTAAAAATACAAAAATTAGCTGAGCATGGTGGTGCATGCTTGTAGTCCGGGCTACTCTAGAGGCTGAGGCAGGAGGATCGCTGGAGCCCAGGAGGTGGAGGCTGCAGTGAGCCATCATTGCACCACTGCACTCCAGCCTGGGTGACAGAGTGAGACCCTGTCTCAAAAAAAAAAAAATCAATTTTTCTAGTGCTATACATTTAATTTTTTTTTCTGTTATGAACATTAGGTTTCTTTGCCTTATTGTTTCAAATTCTTTGGAAGCATTGTTCAATCAATCACATGAGCACAATAGTTGGTACAAAACAGTCATTATTTTGAAAGACCATCACCTGATATGAACAGTTCATTCATAAACTTGAGCCTTTTTTTGTTTTTGTTTTTGTTTTTGAGACAGAATCTTGCTCTGTTGCCCAGGCTGGCGTTCAGTGGCACGATCTCTGGTCACTGCAACCTCCACCTCCCAGGCTCAAGTGATTCTCCTGCCTCAGCCTCCCAAGTAGCTGGGATTACAGGTGCCTGCCACCACGTCCAGCTAATTATTTATTTATTTAATTTATTTTTTGAGACGGAGTTTCACTCTTGTCACCCAGGCTGGAGTGCAGTGGCACGATCTTGGCTCACTGAAACCTCCACCTCCTGGGTTCAAGCAATTCTCCTGCCTTAGCCTCCTGAGTAGCTGGGATTACAGGCGCCCACCACCATGCCGGGCTAATTTTTGTATTTTTCGTAGAGACGGGGTTTCACCATGTTAGCCAGGCTGGTCTCAATCTCCCAGCCTCAGGTGATCTGCCTGCCTCAGCTTCCCAAAGCACTGGGATTACAGGTGTGAGCCACCGTGCCTGGCTGAGTTTGTTTTGTTTTAAAGACCTCAGGGATGTACCTCTAATTGACACTACATCACATTAATCAATAGCTGCACTTTTTGCAAACTGTGGCTATGACAGTCCTGAACAAGAAGGGTTTCCTGCTTAAGCTGCAGTAACTTTTCTGACTATGGATCATTGTTCCTTCTGTGGCAGATTTTTACACCTCCTCTAATGCATTTGGGATGACTGTCTCCAAGTAACCTGCAGCTTTCCTCACTGTCTCTCCTGCTAAGAACTGTTGCCCTTTTCTGCTGTTTTTAGAACCTTCTGTTTTCATATCCACCAGTTCCACGGCCAGATCTATAACGACCACCAGAGGGACTGCCTGAGCTTCTTCCACCAAAACTGCCCCGCATAAACTTGAGCTTTTAAGCGGCATTATATATAAGCCCTATACGAGTTTAACTTGATCTTGTTAAGGTAAACAATCTGTTCAGTCTCACTTTCTTTTTGCATTGATAATTTTAATAATGTCTGATCATTTACTTTCTAAAATCACAAATGCAGTAGCAAGTTTTGGCCAGTTTCATTTTCTTAACTTTTCTCCTCCACATGGGACATGCTACGGGAAGAGGCTTAGAATCGTGGAAAGAGGAGAGTCATCTGCTTTCAGTGCTGGATACAAGGGCAGGTTGTGTGACCTTGGGAACACGTGTTAAAATCTCCAGAACTGCATGTGCCTTTCCTCATCGTGAAGACACAGATCTCGAATAGGGTTGTTGTAGATAGTATGACCAACTGTTACCGTTTTACCAGGATTGGTGTGTGCAGGGGCGTGTGTGTGTGTCTTAGGATGTGGGACTTTCGGTTTTAAAATAGAAATGAGGAATTTCCCAGGACACAGAAATTTCAGGGCTAAACCAGAGAAAATCCTGGGCGAACCGGAACAATTTGGTTGCCCTAGTTGTAAGCACGTGAGTTGCAAAGATGTAGGTGTGATTATTCCCTTGATTCAGTAAACAATTTTTTTCTTTTTTCCCATTGCCCTATCAACCCAACTCCTAGGTCTAATTCTTTACCTGTGCCCTTGGGTGACATGTAAAGCAAGTCTCATAACTTTTTTTTTTTTTGAGACAGTCTTGCTCTGTTGCCCAGCCTGGAGTGCTATGGTGCAGTCATGGTTCACTGCAACCTCTGCCTCCCAGGTTCAAGTGATTCTCCTGCCTCAGCCTCCCGAGCAGCTGGGATTACAAGCATGTGCTACCACGCCCAGCTAATTTTTGTATTTTTAGTAGAGACAGGGTTTCGCCATGTTGGCCAGGCTGGTCTCGAACTCCTGACCTTAAGTGATCCGCCCACCTTGGCCTCCCAAAGTGCTAGGATTACAGGTGTGAGCCACTGCGCCCGGCCTTCTCATAATTTTTATAGTCATCTTAGGTCATAAAGACTTCCAGCTGCTTCTTAAAAAAGTCACATACAAGAAAAAAATACAGTGTCAGCTCAGTGATTAAAATCCTTTCGGCAGGTTGCCTGCAACGTGGAGGAAGCGTGGTCAGCTTTTCCTTTATCTCCCCACGTGGAGCTTCTCCTGCTTCCCCCACTCTCTTGCAAGGCTGCAGACCTCTCACCTGCAGTTCCCTTGATGCCTGTAAATGCAGCTCCTCCACTTGGTCACATTACTGAATCCTTGGGGATCCGTCAGTACATTTCCAGCTTCTCTCTGCAGACTTCACCTCCTACCTCCAGGTGGCGCTCCTGCAAAGGATAAAAGCTCCTGGTACATTCATTCTCATATTCATTCTCTCTCCCCCCTCTCCCCCCCTCCCCCATTTCTCCCCTCTCCCCTCTCTCCCCTCCCACCCTCTCTCTCTCCTCCCACCCTCTCTCTCCAGTGAGGAAAGACCCTGTGTTAGCCCGTTCTCACACTGCTATAAATAGCCGAGGCCGTGTGTGGTGGCTCACACCTGTAATCTTAGCACTTTGGGAGGCTGAGGTGGGCGGATCACTTGAGGTTAGGAGTTCGAGACTAGCCTGGTCAACATGGTGAACGCCACCTCTACTAAAAATACAAAATTAGCCGGCTATTGGCGCATGCCTGTTGTCCCAGTTACTCGGTAGGCTGAGGCAGGAGAATCGCTTGAACCCAGGAGGCGGAGGTTGCAGTGAGCTGAGATTGCACCACTGCACACCAGCCTGGATGACAGGGGGGCTCAGTCTCAAAAAAAAAAGAAAGAGATTTAATTGACTTACAATTCCACATGGCTAGGGTGGCCTCAGGAAACTACAGTCATGGCAGAAGGGGAAGGAGAAGCAAATATCTTCTTCACAAGGCAACAAGAGAGAGAGAAGAGCAAGCAAAGGAGGAACTTGCCAAACGCTTATAAAACCATCAGATCTCCTGAGAACTCACTTTATCATGAGAACAACAAGGTAGAAGCCACCTCCATGATTCAATCACCTCCCACCAGGTTCCTCCCCCAACACCTGGGGATTACAATTCAAGATGAGATTTGGGTGGGGACATAAAGCCAAACCATATCAGACCCCATTCCTCTCTGGACCCGCCCCTCACCCCATATAACTACTCTGAATTGTCCAGTTGAAGAGACTGTCATCCTCCATCACACATCTACGGTGGACAGAGGATGGGACTCACAGCACACCAACAGCTTACGTAAACAAACACACAGAAACAAAACAAAACAAAAACTCTTCTAATCTCTGGAGACTATTATTCTAAGTGAAGTAACTCAGGAATGGAAAACCAAACATCATATGTTCTCACTGATATGTGGGAGCTAAACTATGAGGATGCAAAGGCATAAGAATGATACAATGGACTTTGGGGACTTGGGGGGAAAGGTGAGAGGGGGGCGAGGGATAAAAGACTATAAATGGGGTGCAGTGTATACTGCTTGGGTGATGGCTACACCACAATCTCACAAAGCACCACTAAAGAACTTACTCATGCAACCAAACACCACCTGTATCCCAATAGGAAAAAAAATACCTTCTAATCTCAACACTCCTTTCTTTTTTTTTTCTTTTTTTAATTTTTATTTATTTATTTATTTTTATTTTATTTTATTATTATTATACTTTAAGTTTTAGGGTACATGTGCACAATGTGCAGGTTAGTTACATATGTATACATGTGCCATGCTGGTGTGCTGCACCCACTAACTCGTCATTTAGCATTAGGTATATCTCCTAATGCTATCCCTCCCCCTTCCCCCCAACACTCCTTTCTTACCTTCAGGTGGACAAGAGGCCAAGGGTGTGGGGAAATTAGGTTTTCAGCATTTTCTCCTGAAGTCATGCAGAAATGGCCTTACTGTGAGATCTGACCTCGCTGGCATCTATAATCTTTGGGCCTGAGCAGAAACTGAGATTGCAATGAATCTACTTTGACATTCTGTTATATACATGTGCAAAAACCTTGGGAATACTGGGTATGAGCAGTTTGGAAGGAGAATGGATGGTAGGAATTCATTTTCATAAAAAAAAAAAAAGCTCATGAATAAGTGCACAAGAAAATGTAAGATCAGCCGGGCACAGTGGCTCACACCCGTAATCCCAGCACTTTGGGAGGCCGAGGCAGGCAGATCACCGGAGGTCAGGAATTGGAGACCAACCTGACCAACACAGAGAAACCCTGTCTCTACTAAAAATACAAAATTAGCCGGGCGTGGTGGTGCATGCCTGTAATCTCAGCTAATGGGGAGGCTGAGGCAGGAGAATCACTTGAATCCGGGAGGTGGAGGTTGTGTTGAGCTGAGATCGCACCACTGTACTCCAGCCTGGGCATCTCTAAAATATAAAAATTAGCCAGGCTTGGTGGCGGGCGCCTGTAATCCCAGCTGCTCAGGAGGCTGAGGCAGGAGAATCGCTTGAATCTGCGGGGTGGAGGTTGCTGTGAGCCAAGATGGTGCCACTTCATTGCAGCCTGGGCGAAAGAGTGAGACTCTGTCTCAAAAAAAAAAAAAAAAAAAAAGAGAACCCAGACCTGGAGTGGTGTCTCACGCCTGTAATCCCAGTATGGTGTCTCACTGCAGCCTTGACCTCCTAAGCTCAAGTGATCCTCCCGCCTCAGCTTCCTGAGAAGCTGGACGCACAGGCAAATGCTAATTTTTAAAAACTTTTTTGTAGAGATGGGATTTTGCCATGTTGCCCAGGCTGGTCTTGAACACCTGGGCTCAAGAGATCCTTCTGCCTCAGACTCCCAAAGTGCTGGGATTATAGGCGTGAGCTGCCACACCTGGCCTCCAGAACTATTTTAAAATAAAAAGTTAAGCCAGGTGAGGTGGCTCGCTCCTGTAATGCCAGCACTTTGGGAGGCTGAGGTGGGCAGATCACTTGAGGTCAGGAGTTTGAGACCAGCCTGGCCAACATGGTGAAGCCCTGTCTCTACGGAAAATACAAAAATTAGCTGGGCATAGTAGCAGGTGCCTGTAGCCCCAGCTACTCGGGAGGCTGAGGCAGGAGAATTGCTTGAACCCAGGAGGTGGAGGTTGCAGTGAGCCGAGATCGCGCCACTGCACTCCAGCCTGGGCGACAAGAGCAAGACTCTGTCTCAAATAAATAAATAAAAAGTTAATTTTTTGGAAAGGATGAGATAAAAAGCAGACGAAGGGCATAGAAAGGCCCTTCCAACGCGGCCCTCTCCAACATGAGGAAGCCTCCCACGAGATTTCCACTCACATCTCAAGAAACACAATTGCATCCAGCCCCTTCCTTAAATAACCACTAGCAGTGGGCGTGAGTTTACCTAACTGGGCTAAAGGTGTTTAAACTTCAGTGTGCATCAGAATCACCTGGAGGACTTGTCAAACCATAGGTTGGAGAGGAGGAGAAAGGAAAAGCTCACCTTCAGAGTTTCTGACTGATTCAGTAGGTCTGGGGTGGGGCTCAAGAATTTGCCTTTCTGACGAGCTCCCAGGTGATGCTGACGCTGCTGGTTCAGGGACCACACTTTCACAACCAGCACGTCACTAAGCCTTAGACTAATCAAGATTCATGCCTGAAACTAGAAAAGGGCCAAGTCTCCAAGGAACAAGGGTGGCCAACTGACACCTGAACAAAATCAGGGTTCTCGGCTGGGTGCGGTGGCTCAGGCCTGTAATCCCAGCACTTTGGGAGGCTGAGGTGGGCGAATCACGAGGTCAGGAGTTTGAGACCAGCCTGACCAACATGGTGAAACCCCGTCTCTACTAAAAATTCAAAAATTAGCTGGGTGTGGTGGCGAGCACCTGTAATCCAGCTACTGGGGAGGCTGAGGCAGGAGAATCACTTGAATCTGGGAGGTGGAGTTTGCAGTGAGCTGAGATTGCACCACTGCACTCTAGCCTGGGCGACAGAGCAAGACTGCATCTCAAGAAACAAAAACAAAAACAAAATCAGGATTCTCTTAGCAGAGAAGATTTTGGATTTTGAGAAACACCTGTCCCTTATATCGTACGATGACTTTTCTCTTATTTTTTCTGATCTTAATATAATTATATCAGCTTCCTGGAGAAGTTCCTCCACCACATTTTCTTACTTGTTCATTTTTCTTCAGCTGTATCAATTCTGCCTTTTTTTTTTTTTTTTTTAAAGAGACACGGTCTCACCATGTTGCCCAGACTGGTCTCGAACTCCTGGTCTCAAGTGATCATCCCACCTCAGCCTCTCAAAGTGCTGGGATTACAGGCGTGAGCCACGGCACCCACCCTACTGCCTATTCTGTTAGAGGATAATGTTATATATTTTTTACCATCATGTATTTTTATACTTTTTATTTCCATAAGCCTCTTGCTTTATGGAAAATTGTTCTTGTTTCATATTGCTAATATGTGTCCTTTTTTAGTATGTTTCTTTTTTTTTCTTTTTATTTTTTGAGACAGGGTCTTGCACTGTCACACAGACTGGAGTGCAGTGGCACAATCATAGCTCACTGCAGCCTTGACCTCCCAGGCTCAAGCAATCCTCCTGCCTCAGCCTCCCAAGTAGCTGGGGCCACAGGTGTGCACCACCACACTGGGCTAATTTTTTTTTTTTTTTTTTTGTAGAGATGGGAATCTCACTATGTTGCCCAGGCTGGCTTTGTTAAGAAGTACATTTCTTATGCTAATTATAAATTCTTGATCTATCTGACACCTCCTCCCCCGAAAAAAACACTCTCATTGCTTCACCACACCAAGCAACTGACA